>NW_009646204.1:0-211377 GCF_000001405.40 Homo sapiens | reverse complement strand
GAATTCAGTTTAGATACTCCTTGTAAAGAAGTTACAGATTAAGGAGAGAGAGAATGAGTCTTTGAAGAAATCAGTCACCTTATGAGGCTGGTCTAATGAGTCAAGTATTATATTCTCATTTTACAAATTTAGTAATTTTGTAATACCAGAATAAACCTCAAAATTGTTATTTCAAAACTATAAACTCGGTATCATTATGACTAAACCATAATACTATTCATTGCTGTCAGTATATTATTCAAAGCCAGACTTTTCCTGTTTTATTAATTTTAATTGTTATGCTTTATCACATCTGTATAGTCATTGTTTTCAAAGTGAAATAATTCTACATGGCTTATAATAGGGAAAAATTAAGAAAAAAATTCCCTCACACTTAGAGAATTCCAAATCTTCACTCCTGAGATGACATCATTAAGAAAAGTTTTCTTTCTGTATCATATTATGCTATATGTCAAAAAAACATGATTATTCTATTATTTCTTGATTTGCTAGTGTTAGATGTATCTATTGACTTTCTAATGCAGAAGAGTTTTCTATTTACTCTACTTCATACACAAGAGAGTTGTGCCATACTTTTTATTTAAATTAATAATTAGTGTTTTTATTATGATTGTGTGAACACTATTCACAGTTGAACTATATATACAGTGTACTTTGATTACTCCTGATTTCTGTACAGTTTTGTGTTTTCTAGGAGATTACAGTCTATAGTGTTTTCTTAATACTGAGTATTTGTTACAATAGGTAATTTATAATCTATCTCCAATCTCTACTGAAGTATTAATTTCTCAACACATTTAAATACATACTCTGGTTAATCAACTAGTTTTTCTAGGAAGCATTATTCCTGGAATCCTCTATTCTTCCTTGGTGCTGAGGAATACTACATGCCTTTCTTCCTAAAATGTTTTCTTTCTGTCATTATTTACCTTTATCCAGTGTTGATTTTTTGGTTTGGATACTCATTTTCCCTGTCTTGCTTGCTCAGTTTTCCAGTTTCTTATGAAAAGTCCATGTAAAGTAAACTGACATGATTATCTCACGCTGCCTTTATTTTAACCTAAAATTGATTAATACATTTCTCTCTCAGATTTTGAGGTATTTCTCTATTGTCTTTAGGAAATTAGTGCTTCTATTGATAAAATTAATACTCATCTTTTAAATACTTTTTAGATAACATGTTTTATTTTCTGGAAATTTAAAAATTTTATTTTTTGTAATTCATGTTATTTTGAAATTTTATGGTGTTGAAACTCAATGTATGTCTGCTTTTGTTAATAATCTTACTTGTCTCTTTGAACTCTTTCAAAGTAGAAATTCATTTTTCTACTCTCTAATCTCAGATATACCTGACAATTTTGAGTTCAAATTTCATTTAAAATTCTCTATAGATTAAATCACCATTTTCTTCTTCTATTATGGTAAGGTAGTTATTCTAATATGTGTCATCAGAATGTATCTAAAGGTCGAACTGTTGCTTGTATATGCTTTCTTTTAACATTTTACTTTAATTTCTTACAGAGGTATAATTAACATACAATAAGCTGTGCATACTCAAAGTGCACAATCTGATAAATTTTCGTGTATGTACACAATGGAATCAACCATAACCACAGTAAAGACCATGAAAATATCCACAGCCCCAAATGGTTTTTTTTTTTTTTTTTTTTTTTTTTTTTTTTACTAGCAATCTACTTAGGAGTTAGAAGTGTAAATTTTTTACATGTGTATACTGTATTTGTGGTGAAGCCTTTAATAGTTGAACATTGTACATAACATAATTTTTCAAACCTCACCTACCTCCCACCCTCTCATCTTTTGGAGTGTTCAATGTCTATTATTCTACTCTGTATGTTTATGTGTACTCATTACTGAGTTACCACTTATAAGTAAAACATGCAGTATTTGACTTCCCGTTTATGAGTTATTTCACTTAAGATGATGGCCTCCAGTTCCACCTATGTTGCTGCAAAAGACATGATTTCATTCTTTTCATGGCTTAGTAGTAGTCTGTGGTGTGTGTGTGTGTGTGTGTGTGTGTGTGTGTGTGTGTAATGCATATTTTTATCCAATCATCTACTGATGACCATTTAGGTTGATTCCATATCTTTGCTATCGTGAATAATGCTGTGATAAAATTACAAGTGCAATGTCTTTGTGATGTAATTTTTGTTGTTGTCATTTGTTTTTATTCCCTTTGGGTACATACCCAGTAGTGAGACTGCTGGATGAACTGGTAGTTCTATCTTTACTTCTTTGAGAAATATCCATACTGTTTTCCAGAAAGGTTTTACTAATTTACATTCCCATCAACAGTGTGTAAGCATTCTCTTTTCTCTGCATCCTTGCCAACACCTGTTATTTTTTAACTTTTTATTAATAGCCATTTTAAATATCTAAGATGATATTTCGTTGTGGTTTTAATTTGCATTTCTCTGATGATTAGTGATTTTTTTAATGTTAGTTGGCTGCTTTTATGTCTTTTAAAAATACCTGATCATGTCCTTAGCCCACTTTTTAATGGGGTTACCTGCTTTCTTCCCTTGTTGAGTTCCTTGTAGATTCTGGATATTAGTCTTTTGTTGGAGGCATAATTTGCAAATATTTTTTCCATTTTGTAAGTTATCAGTTTACTCTATTGAATGCTTCTTTTGCTGTGCACAAGCTTTTTCATTTCAATAATCTCTATTTGTCTATTTTTGGTTTTGTTGTGTTTGGTTTAGAATTTGGTCATAAATAATTTTCCTAGGCCAATGTCCTGAAGAGTTTTTTTCTAGGTTTTCTTCTATGATGTTTTTAGTTTCAAGTCTATGTTTAGGTCTTTAATCCAACATAAGTTACTTTTTGTATGTGGTGAGAGGTATGGGTCCAATTTCATTCTTTTGCATATGGCTCTCTATTCTATTTCACTGATACTACTGTCTACACTTATACAAGTTCCATGCTGTTTTGATTACTATAGCCTTGCAATATAATGTGATCCTCCAGTTTTGTTCTTTTTGTTTTGCTTAGGATTTCTTGGGCTATCTGGGCTCTTTTCTGATTCCACATGAATTTTATATTTTTTTTTTCAAATTCTGTGAAAAGTGATCTTGGTAATTTGATAGAAATTGCATTGTATCTGTAGATTTCTTTGGGCAGTATCCAATTCATGAACATGGAATGTTTTTCCATTCGCTTGTGTCATCTATAATTTCTTTCATCAGTGTTTTGTAGTTTTCCTTATGGAGGTTTTTACCTCTTCAGTTAAATATATTCCTAGGCATATTAATTTTTTTATAGCTATTGTAAATAGAATTGCTTTTTCGATAGAGTCCCAGGCTAGATCACTCTTGGTGTATAGAAACACTGATTTCTGTACATTAATTTTATATCTTGAATTTTTAGTGAATTTATTTATTAATTCTAAGAGTTTTTTATTGGATTCTTTAAGGTTTTCTAGATGAAAGATTATATCCCTAGCGAACAGGTTTATTTTGACTTCCTCTTTTCCAATTTGAATGTTTTTTATCTCTTTCTGTTGCCTGATTGCTCTGGCAAGGGCTTCAAGTGCTATGTTGAATAGAAGTAGTGAAAATGGGCAT
Source organism: Homo sapiens (assembly GCF_000001405.40). Taxonomy (NCBI): domain Eukaryota; kingdom Metazoa; phylum Chordata; class Mammalia; order Primates; family Hominidae; genus Homo; species Homo sapiens. The sequence continues at coordinate 207,793 of NW_009646204.1, read as the reverse complement.
ACTTGTCTTGTTCTGGTTCTTACAGAAAATGCTTTCAGCTTTCCCCCATTAAACATGCTGCTGGCTGTGGGTTTGTCATATATTGCCTTTATTTTATTGAAGTATGTTTCTTCTATGCCTAGTTTGTTGAAGATTTTTTATTGTTAAGAGATGCTGAGTTTTATTGAATGCTTTTTCTGCATCTATTGAGAAGATGATTTTTGTCCTTAATTCTATTTATGTCATATATCATATTTACTGATTTGCATATGTTGAACCATACTGGCATTCCTGGGATAAATCCTATCTGATGATGGTGTATTATCATTTTGATGTCCTGTTGCAGTCAATTTGCTGACATTGTGTTAATGATTTATTGCATCTATGTTTATTATGAATATTGGTGTGCAGTTTTATTTGTTGTTATGGTGTCTTTGTCTAGTTTTGGTATCGGGGTGATATTGGTCTTGTAGAATGAGTTAAGGGGAATTTGTTCCTCCTCAATTTTTTGAAATATTTTCAGAAGGACTGAAATTAACTCTTCTTTGTATGTTTGCTACAGTTTAGGTGAGAATTCATCTGGTCCCAGGCATTTTTTTTAATTTGGATTTTTTTCATTACTGCTTCAATCTTGCTACTCCTTATTGATCTGTTCAATATTTATATTTCTTCCTGGTTAAATCTCTGGGAGATTGTATGTATCCAGGAATTTATCCATTTCCTCTAGCTTTTCTAGTTTGTGAAAGTGTAATTGCTTGTGAAAGTATAGTGGCTCAGAATAGTCTATGATTTTTTTTTCTGTCTGTAGTATCAGTTTTATTGTTTCCTTTTCCATTTCTGTTTATTTGGATCTTCTCTATTCTTTCCTTTGGTAGTCTCACTGGTGGTTTATCAACTTCATTTATCTTTTTGAAGTACCAACTTTTTATTTCATTAATCCTTTGTATTGTTTTTCTAATACTGATCTCATTTATTTTTCTCTGATTTGTTTTTTTTCTTCTGCTTCCCAGGGTTTAATTTGTTCTTGTGTTCCTAGTTTTTGGAGATGTGACATTAGATTGTTAATTTGAGCTATTACTACTTTTTTGATGTAGGGATTTTATGCTATAGACCTCCATCTTTGCACTACTTTTGTTGCCTCTTAAAGGTTTGAATTGTTGTATTTTCATTTTAATTGGTTTAAAAAATGTTTTAAATGTTATCCTAATTTCTTCATTGACCCAGTAATCCTTCCAGAGCATACTGTCTCATTTTCATGTATTTGTATAGTTTCTGAAATTCCTCTTGGTATTGATATCTACCTTTATTCCACTGTGATCTAAGATGATACTTGATATGATTTAGATTTTTAAAAATTTGTTAAGAATTTTATTGTATAATATGTTGCCTATCTTGAAGAATGGTCTATGTTTAAGACTGTATATTCTCTAATTGTTGAGTAGAATGTTCTGTAAATGTCTGTTCACTTGGTCTAAAGTTCAATTTAAGTCCAATCTTACTTTGTTAATTTTCTGCTGTAATGATCTTTCTAGTGCTCTAAGTATAATGTTGGCATCCTCCATTTTTATGTTATTGCTATCTCCCTGTTTTTTTTAGGTATAGTAATATTTATTTTGTCAATCTGGGTGCCTTGATATTGGGTGCATACATATTTAGGATTATTACATTATCTTATTGAATTCATTTCTTTGTCATTATATAATGGCAGTCTCTTTTATTACTGTTTTTGATTTAAAGTTTATTTAATCTTATATAAGTATATCCTACTCATTTTTGCTATCTGTTTGCACGGAATACCTTTATCCAACCTTTCATTTTCAGTTTACATGTGTTTTTATGGGTAAGGTGAGGTTCTTGTAGAAAGTATATAATTTGATCATATTTTATTTCTTTTTAATTTATTCTATTAATCTGTATGTTTTAAGTGGAATATTTAATTCATTTACATTCAAGGTTAATATTAATATGTAAGGCTTTGTTCCTATGTTATTGTTCATTGTTTGCAAGTTTCTGTTTTTTTTTTTCCTTTTTTTTTTTTTTTTTTTGATGGAGTCTTGCTCTGTCACCCAGGCTGGAGTACAGTGACACTATCTCGGCTCACTGCAAGCTCTGCCTCATGGGTTCACGCCGTTCTCCTGCCTCAGCCTGCTGAGTAGCTGGGACTACAGGCACCTGCCACCAAGCCCAGCTAATTTTTTTGTGTGTTTTTAGTAGAGATGGGGCTTCACAGTGTTAGCCAGGATGGTCTCGATCTCCTGACCTCGTGTCCTGCCTGCCTAGGCCTCCCAAAGTGCTGAGATTGCAGGCATGAGACACCGTGCCCAGCTGCAAGTTGTTTTTTTATAAATTCTTTGTTTCTTTTTCACTGTGCTTTTATCTTTGTGGCTTGATGAAATTCTGTCGTTTTGCCATTTGAGTCCTTTCTGTTTGTGTGATTGTCTTATAAGAACTGTGAGTTTTATCTTTTTGTATATTTGTGTGATGGTAAATATCAAACTTTTGTTTCCATGTTTCATTTTCACCTTTGAGCGTTTCCTGTTAGGCTGGTCTAGTGAAGACAAATTCTTCAAGTGTTTGTTTACCTGGAAAAGAGTTTATTTATTCTAAAATTCTTGGCTGACAGATTTTGTTTTTCTTCAGCACTTTGAAAATGCCATCCTATTCTCTTCTGACCTATAAGGATTTCTATTTAAAAGTCTGCTGTTAGTCTGATGGAGTTTCCTTTATAGATGGCTAGACACTTGCTAACTTTAAAATTATTTCATTTACTTTGACTTTTGACATTTCTAATATAATATGCTATGGTGAAGTCATTTTTACAATGTATTTCAGTGATGGTATCTGGGCCTCCTATATCTGAATGTCTGACTCTTTTGCTAGTCTTAGGACATTTTCATTGATTATTTTCTTAAATAAGTTTTTAAAAGTTTTTGATCCCTGTTCACCCCCAGGAATACCAATAATTTGTAAGGTCTCTTGTTTCAAGTAGTCTCATACGTCTCTCAAAGGCTGTGTTTTTTGTTGTTGTTGTTTGTTTGTTTTTTGTTTTAATATATATTTTTGTTTGACTATTTCAAAAGACCTGAGATTCCCTCTTCTGCGTGGTCTAGTCTATTATTGAAACTTTTGTATTTTGTATTTATGTCAATGAACTTTTTATTTGCAGAACTTCCGCTTTGTTATTTTTATTTTTTTTTATTTGGAGTTTTAAAGAATGCTTTTGATTGAGATCTTTTGCTGGATGATTGTTGTGGTCCCTTGATGGTGTCATATTTCCTAGCTTTTTCATGTTTCCTGTGTCCTTCCTTTGATATCTACATATGTGGTATCATAGTCGCTTGTTCCAAATTTTTGAAATTGCTTTGGTAAGGGAGAATTTTTTCCTGAAGATGTATATATGTTATTGGTTGTGAAGGATATCTTGGTTTTGTTTTAGGGTGCCTGTGGTAGCGCAATTGTATCACTCCTTCAGCAGCATATAGAATCAGTAGTATCTGTGATTTCCTCTGTGACTTAGGGTACAGTTATTAGTTGAGGTTGTGATGAAATATTGCTAGGGACTTTGACACCAACTGAGCCAGTCTTCGAGCCCTTGTGTTGGTAGCTATAGAGTAAATGTGACAGTTTTTAGGCCCCAGAGCAGCTTACTCTGATTCCAATGTTACTAGGTTCTTAGGGGCTGCGTCTTGAAGTTCCAGGTGGCTTGTTTAGAAGCTAATTGTGAGAGCCAAGAGTACAGTTTGTGGGTGGGTTTTCAGGCCCCTGAGCATCTGGTGTGTTGTAGGCGATGACAGTATCCATGATGGAGCAAACCACTGAGACCCAAGCAATTCTTGCTGATGTTCCTGGTAGTTTCTCCTGGTTGGGCAGACTAGTCCTCAGTACCACAACAGGGTAGTGGGTATTTTCCTAAATGTGCTTAAAAGAGCTTGGTCCCCTCTGCCCCTCCTACAGCTGGGTGTTGGCTGCAGCCATGTCACCTTCAACTGGGTGGGGCAAAACCCAATGTTAAACTCTCAAAATGGTATCAGCTGTAGGCTTATGACTAGACAGGGTGGGACACCTCTCAGATGAGCAGCATGAGCAACAAGCTATGAGGAGTGTAGTCTACTTGAGTCTCAATCTCACAGCAACCTGGAGCGGGATGGTGGGTATTGTTCTGGGTATACATAAGTGACCCTGGATTTTTTGTCCCTCATCAGCTATGTGGGGGCTGCAGTCATGTCAACTTGGACTCTGCCCAAGGATGAGGCATAGCCCAACATTGAACTCTCATAATTGTTCCAGCTGTGGGCTTGTGACCAAAGAGGGCGGAGCACCTTCCAGGCTAGCAGCATGGGCAAGAAGCTGTGGGGAGTGTGGCCTGCCTGCCTTTGCATTTAACAGAAGCCTGATGTAGTGCAATGAATATTATCCTAGATGTGCATAAGAGGGCCTCGTTTCCCTGACTCCCCTTGGCCAGGCAGCATCTGTGCCAATGTCAGCCTGAACTCAGTCTGAAAGTGAAGCACAAACTAACATTAAACTGTCAAGATAGGATCTTGGGCCTGGTACCAGAGAGGGCAGTGTCCTTCCCACGCAAGCAATATGGGCAAGAAGCTGTGGGGAGAGAGGTCCATTCATTTCTCTGTCTCAAAAGCTGTCTGTAGCAGAGTGGTAGGGAACTTCCTGGAAGTGTGTGGGAGTGCCTGGTCTCCCATCTCTCTCCTTGGAACAGTACAGCGGCAGCATCCCTGTCTGTAGATCCTTGATATCGGGTCTTTTAAAAGGGCTCTCAGTTGAGGCTGCTGTGGTTTCAGATGCCTGTGGGATTCCATGTGGGTTCCTTTTTTGGAGCAACGCCTGTCTGCAATCTTTAGGCAGCTCCACATATTAGGCCCAAGACCTTAGTGGGTCAAGGGTTTCTCCCATAGCCAAAATTATAAAAGCCCATTTTGAAGTCCTAGGGATTTCTGTATTACTCTTTCCCTGTGTCTAGGAGTCTGTCTCAGCCCTCAGTTAGTCTCCAGCTGGCCAAGCTGCCTTAAACACGCTCCTTACTTCCTTCTAGAGTTTTCTGTCTCTTCTCTAATGAGGCCTAGTGTTATCTCCTAATTTATGTTTAGAATGTAAGTATCTATTTACTTTTCTGGTTCCTCTTTGTAGAAGAGGCACATACTACCTGTATCTAGTCAGTCATCTTGATTCCTCTATCCCAAAACTTTCATATCCTGTTGGTGCCCCACTCTGTCCACCTCACCAATGAAATCATTGATCTACTTCTGAAACAAATTAGTTTGCATTTCATAGAACTTTATATAAATGTCATTATATGGTATGTATTCTTTTCAGTCTGAATTTCTTTAAGTTAAAATATATTTATTTTCAGATTCATTCATGTTGTGTGTTTATCATATTTTATTTCTTGGCATTGCTGAGTAGTATTCCATTGTGTGTGAATGCCACTACTTGTTACCCATACACTTTTATGTACACATTAGTTGTTTTATGTTTTTAGTTATTATAAAGCTGTTATGAATATTTGTATACCAGTGTATAGATATGTTTTTATTTCTCTTGGGAAAACATATAAGAGTGAAAAGGCAAGGTCATATAGTAAGTGTATATGTGACTATTTAAGAAATTGACAAACTGCCTTCCAAGTTTTAACACTTGAGTTATTCCAGTGGATATATAATGGTATATTATTCTAGCTTTCTTTTGCCTTTGTCTAATAGCCAATTATTTTGAGCATCATTTCCTATGGATATTTGACATCTGTATGTCTTCATTGGTGAAGTGTTCTTTATGAAATAAAGTTTTGCATATATTTTCTCCTTGTATTATGGCTTGTTTTTTCATTAATTAGCAGCATCTTTTGAAGTGGAAGAGTTTTTAATTTATACTGGGAGACTCAGTATATTGATTATTTTAGTACGTGATTTTCATTATATTTAAGACATTTTTGCAAAACCTATGGTTTCTATGATTTACTTCTAGAAGCTCTATAATTTTAGTCTGCACACATATGTTTATAACTATTTGTGTTTACTTTTGTATATAGTGTGAGGTAATGCTTGAACTTTTTTTTTTTTGCATTTGCTTATTCAGTTGTTCTAGCCACATTTGTTTAAGTAATCATCCTTTTCTCCATAAAATTGCCTTGACATCTTGTCAGAAATTATTTGCCTGACCATTTATGCATACCCATTCTGTACTACGTCATTGATACGGTTTGACTGTGTCTCCATCCAAAATTTACCTTGAATTGTAGCTCCCATAATCTCCACGTGTTGTGGGAAGGACCAGGTTGGAGATAATTAATTCATGGAGGTGGTTTCCCCTATATTGTTCTCATGGTGGTGAATAAGTCTCCTGAGATCTGATGGTTTTACAAGGGAAAACCCTTTTTTCTAGGTTCTCATTCTCTCTCTTGACTGCTGCGATGTGAGACATGCCTTTCACCTTCCGCCGTGATTTTGAGGCCTCCCCAGCCACGTGGAACTGTGAGTCCATTGCCCTCTTTTTCTTACAAATTACCCAGTTTCAGGTATGTCTTTATCAGCAGTTTGAAAACAGACTAATACAATTGTCTTGATTACTAAAGACTTTAATAGGTAGGGCATGAAATTAAGTAGTATATATAATCAAGCTTTGTTCTTGTTTTTCACATTTATTTTGTTTATTCCAAATCCTTTACGTTTGCATAGAAACTTTAGAACTAGCTTGCCCATATATAGAAAATATGTAGAAAAAGACCGAGGGTTTTGACTGGAATTTCATTAAGTCTATGGAGAATATTTGTGAATATTGACCTCTTAGCAATTCTGAGTTTCCTAACCTCCCCAAAACAGTATTTATTATAATATTTATTTGTGCCTTTTTTAATTTCTCAGCATATTTTATAAGTTCTCACTCCGCTCTATTTATCTCTTATACATTTTTTCAAGTCCATGCCTGAATATTTCCTACGATGAAATGCCATATGGTATTATTTCAATTTTCAACTTTTGTTGCTATATAGAAATTAAATTGATTTTTAAATTTTTCTCATATTTGCAAAACTTACTCATAAGGTTATTTGTGGCTTTTCCAATAAATTCCTTCAGAGTGACTACCTAGTGAATCATATTATCTGCAAATAAAGTTAATTTTATATTTTCTTTCCAATCTATATGTCTTTTATTTCTTGTCTTACTGGAGTGGCTAGGATCTCCCATACAATGCTGCATAGAAGTAGTGAAGGTAGACATACTTGCCTGGTTGCTGGTGTCAGACTGAAAGCAGTCTTTCAACATTTTAGTGTAATGTTCACAGTGGAAATTTTTTGTGGATGCTTTCATAAGGTTAAGGTAGTTCCCTTCTCTTCCTAATGTGCTGAGAGTTTTTATAAGAATCAACGCTGTATTTTCTCAAATGCTTTTTGTATCTATTGAGATGATAATGTGGTTTATCTTTTTTAGTCTATGAATATGATTATATTAATTTTTGAATGTTTAAGCACATTTATATTTCTGCAAGAAACCTTACTAGGGATGTATTATCATTTTCATATATTGCTTAATTATTACTATTTTAAAGAATATTTTTATCTATGTTCATGGAGAATACTGACATATAGTTTTCTTTTAATTTCTGTATCTGTTTTTGGAATAAGGATAGTGTCAACATCATATAACGAGCTAGAAAGTACAATCCCACTTTAATGCTCTGGAAGTAGTTGTATAAAGTTATTTTTACTTCTTCCTTAAATATTAGAATCAAGAATGAATTCATCTTGGCACCTTTTTGTTTTTGTTACTATTCTTGATGAAGGGAGGTTTCTAAGTACAAATACAATTTAAAAAATAGATTTACAATGATTAATTTTTTTCTATATTTTATCATTCTGTTTTGGTAGTTTGTGTCTTTCAAGAAATTCTTCCAATTCATGTAGGCTGAATTTCTTAAAATAATTTTATAACAATATTTCTTCACAAGTCTTTATCTGCAGAATGTGACATAGAAGTATCTCATTACTAATATTGGTAAGTTGTGTATTTTATCATATGTTTTTTCTTCGTAGTTGGGTTAAAGATTTATCAACTTTCTTGATATAAAATAATCAGCATTTGTTTTCAGTGGTTTTCCCTATTGATTTTCTGTTTCTATTGATTTCTTCACTTACAGTTGTGATTTATTTTCCTGATTCCTTCGTGTTTAATTTGTTTGTTTTGTTTTTCTAGTTTTTTAGTGAGAAACATAATATTATTGACTTGATGACTTTATTTTTCTCAAATGTAGTGTATATTGCTATAAATTTCCTCTAAATACTATTTTAGCTGCTTCCCACAAATTTTCATATGCTGTGTTTTCATTTTTACTCTGTTCAAATACATGTATTGCTTTTGCTTATTTTTTGACCTATAGACTATTTAGAAATGTGTTATTTAATTTTTTTGGAGAGAGGAGCTTTAGATATCTTTCAGCTGTTGATTTATAATTTAATTCCATTGTGGTCAGAGAACATACAGTGCATGATTTGAAACTATTCAAACTTGTAGATACTAATTTGGTGAGCCAAAATATGGTCTGTCTTGGCAAATATTTTTGTCATTTTTTTTGCTTCAGTTGGTTGCAGTATTTTATGAATGTTGTGTAGATTAAGTTGGTAAGTAGTGATGCTCATATTTTCTATATGTTTTGATTTTATATCTTCTTTTATATCAATTATTGATGGAAAATCTGTGGGAATAATTGTGGATATGTCTATTTCCCCTTCTGTTTCTCTCAGTTTTCATTTCATGTATGTTAAGCTGTGTTATTAGTGCATTCATATCTAGGATTGTTATTTTTAACTGACCTCAATATTATGAAATAACGTTTCAAAAATTCTGGTAATATCTTGTGCTTTAAAATCTACTGGTTCAATATTCATATGTCCTGTCCATTCTTCTTTCATTAGTGTTAATATAATATAACTTTTCCCCCTCTGTTTTAACCTACTCATGCCTTTACATTTATTATGTGATTTTAGTAACGAGATTTTATTTCAGGCTTATTTCCTAAAAACCTAATCTGACAATCTTTGCCTTTTAGTTCATATCTGCATTTTATTTGTATTTAATCTTTTACAGATGGTTGGATTTGTACCTATCATCTTCCATTAGTTTTTAATATATCCCTTTTCCTTTTTGTTTCTTTTTTTTTCTTTTTCTGTATTTTCCATTAACTAAACATTTTTTTAGAATTCCATTTTATTTCTTTGTTGGTTTATTAGCTATAATTCTTATTTTATTATTGATTTATTCTGAGTTTCCAGTATACATCTTTAAGGTATCACAATCTATCTTCAATAATATTGTACCACTTCAAGTAGAGTTCAAGAACTTAAGTATTCTTCTGATTCTCCCCTCACTGTGGGTTTGTTGTTGGTGTTTTATATTGAACTATTTGTAACTCTACACAATTACATTTCTGGTGTTCAACAAATAGATCAAATTGTTTCTTTGATTTCTTTGACTGTTCAATTACTATTTGTCCAAGATTTTGTTACTCATATTTCCTCTTCCATTCATTCACCCTTTAGTTCCTATGTCCCTTTTCATATTTTATTTATATTTGGATGGTCCATTTGAACGCAATTTTATCATCTATATATTGTTTGAATAGAATGCTTATACTGTTTCCATTCTTCATTAATGTCAGTCCATTTCCTTTGTTCATCCCTCCATGAGTTCTATGATTTTCAGACTGAGAACAAAATTTCACGACCAAATTCTCAGCATTTACCTTACATTTCCATTCTTTCACTTAAACTTGTCTTTTCCTTGACCTTGTTGTCCACTTTGGAGGCACGAATTCCCAGAAAGTGTGGCTTTTTTGTCATATATTTCTTGTTACTGGGAAATATAAGAGTCGGTGTTTTATATTCTCTACTGAAGTCCACGTCATTTGCTTATACTACCCTTCCCCAATAACCATTGCTGTGGTTCATCAACAGATAGGCTACTATCCTATTGTTGGTGATTCAAATCTTGAGTAACAGTCATCCTCTTCACTCATTCATTACCAATAATGAGAGAGAATGCAAATTGGTATTAAGGCCAGGCTGATCAGGATTGAATTTTAACTGTGATAATTACCTAATATACTATGATCGAGTATTTGCATTGATGGCTGTGATCAATTGCCTTTATGTTGATGTTCTTTGCAATGTGACTTTGCTGTTCTTTCCAACAAGTAGTTAACTATTTATAGTGAACTTAAAAAGATTACAGGAGTTACCCAAAGCACGTGGTCTAAAGGCTGGCATGGAGAGTAGGTATTTAATAAATGGACTTATTAGTCTTGTTATTATTCCTCGCAAAACCCCTATAGCAAAGTTGATACGTTTTTGATACCTTGGCCTAATTGTTTGTATCTTAAACACTTCATAACTTCAAGTATTTCAATCTTTATTCTACTTCAACCATTTATCAAAACAATTCTATCTCTCCTTGAAAATTTTCACCTGTAAGCCTCTGTAGTACATTCTCATAATTTCGTGTTGCTTTGGTATCCATTTTGAATACAAGTTTAACTTTCTCATACCCGAAGTAAGATTCAGTCATCCTTGACACAGTTTACCGTTTTATTCCACACCTAAATGATTCAAGCTGGTGTCCAGAGATAATAATTTAGAGGTAGCTCTTCCACCAAGACTGAACTCCCTGCTTTCCTGCAGCTTTTTTAGAGGAACAATTCAGATATTTGCCTGTGAACTTAAACTGGCCCACATCTTACTCCCTTATATATACTGTTAGTTGCCATGTTCTCTCTCTCCCTTTCTCTCTCTGTCTGCCTGATTCTTTGTTGCTGTTTTGTATGACCTCCCTACTCATTATATACTCCTTGCTCATTTTCTGTAGGTAAAAATCTTTGAACGTGTTTTCTGTTGTGGTGTATTGAATGTGTGGCTTCCATCTGAAGAATGAGAGGCTGCTATAGGGTGGTTTCTCCAGGACACCAGGAAAACATAAGGCCAGGTTCCCATAACCAGAGCAATAGTCCAGTGGGCCATGGGTCAGACAAGAGCTACGAGTGCATCTGCCAGCATAAACAAGTTTTCCATGTGAGGGTACCCCTGGTTTTGGGTTGGACAACTAGACATTAGACTGTCTTCCAGGTAAAAGAAGTAACCTGTGAAAGTCACAATGTAAACACCCATGTTCAACTCCCTTTCATTTCCTGTTAGGGCAGGTTGCACCTTTGTCAAAGATCAGTTGACTATAGATATGTGGATTTATTTCTAGGCTATTTTGTTTCTATTTATCTATATTTGTTTTCATACCAGTACCATATTAATTTTATTATCGTAGCTTTGTAATATGTTTTGAAATCAGGAAAGGTGATGCCTTCAGCTTTGTTCTTCTTGCTCAAAATTGATTTGGCTATTCAGTGTCTTTTTTAGATCCATATTACTTTTAGAATTTTTTTCCTACTTTTTGTAAAGAATGCCACAGGGATTTTTATAGGGACTGTATTAAAACTGTGGATCACTTTGAGTATTCTGGACATTTCAACAATATTAAGTCTTTCCATTCAGGAACATGGATATATTTTTATTCATCTGATTCTTCTTTAATTTCTCTCATCAATGTTTTATAATTTTCAGTGCCCTTAATTGATGAAGAAAAACAGTTGAGATAATTCTGCATTCATTTATAATAAAAAGTGTCAGCAAGATAGGCATTGAAGTTAGTTACTTCAATATAAAAAAGGCCATCTATGAACAGCCTACAGCTTACATTACAATCAATGAGGAAAAACAAAAAGCTTTTTCTTTACAATCTGGTACAAGGTAAGGATGATCACCCTTGCCACTTGCCTTCAACATAATACTAGAAGTCATATTCAGAGCAATTAGACAAAAAATAAAAAACAAAGGCTTCCAAATCAGAAGAGAAGAAGCAAAAATTATCTCTGCATGCAAATGACGTGGTCTTATATGTAGAAAACCCTGAAGACTAAACAAAAATCTGTTAGAACAAATAAATTCAATAAATTTGCAGAGTACAGAATTCAGTCTTCTTTCTATACACAAGCAATGAACTACCTGAAGAGGAATAATAAAAGAATTCTAATCCCAACAGAAACCAAAAGAATAAAATATGTTGAAATAAACTTGTTTAAAGAGGTGACCTCCCTTGTTCATGCACTTATTCTATTTATCTCTTTTTAGCTGAGACGTATACATAATCTTGTCATTGTTTTATTCTCTTTTTCATTTATTTTCATTTACTTTTCTTGCTTTGAGTCCTTAGGAGACCAAATTGTAATTTACCCCTGAAAGCCTGGAGGAATCCTTTGAATTCTGTGGTTCTACTATAGTTTCAGTTCAGCATTCATCTATGGTACCAACTCCCAGAGGTTACCTAAGAGCCTTAGAGTCTTTCCACTCTCACAACAGTTGCTGCGCACCCACTCCTGCTGTCCGTGGCCCAGGTAGGGAGCAGAGAGGCTGGGCACTTTCATACACCCCCCAAGAGAGATACCACAACCTCCAAATAGAGGAGCAGGCAAACTAAATACCACATGACTCCTTGCCTCCACTGCTCCCCACCAAATGGACTTGCTTGCATCAATGACAGGCACCTTGGAGCCTCCCTACCCCTGCCTGAACACAGAGTACCTCTAAGAGCCCAACCTTTAGAGACCACCAATAAGTGTTTCTGCTCTACCTGCTGTATTAGTTGTCATCACCACTGCTGCCTTCCCCCCTGCTAGCCCCAGGTCAAGGAAGGAGCAGAAAGGCTGGACACTTTTACATGTCCCCAACAGTGAAATCAAGCACCACTTCTGTGGGAGGGGAATGTGAGCAGACCACACGCCTCACAGCTGCCACTCTCCATTGCCCCAGCTGAGAAGGCCTGCCCTCGCTTGTAAAAGACTCACAGTCACATGGCTCCCACCAGACTATTTCGGCTGCAGCCTGGAACCTATCAGAGATCCCAGGCCTGTGATCTGCCTTTGGGTTCCCACTGCCTGAGTGCTCTGCTTACCCCAACTTGAGAGTTCTGCTGGTGACCCAGGGATGACCACCCTGCCCCTCTCCATCACAACCAGAACCTGAACGCTGTGCTGGCTCAATCCTGTTCCAGCCCCTTCAGAACTCACATCCCATCCAGTGGGCCATCTGGGGCCTGGGACTGGGGAATTATCTAGCCTAGTCAACACTGCTGGCACCAGCCTGCTCCCCTGAGTACTGAGATCGGGCCAACTTCACCAGCTAACACCATGACATCTGACACACACCTGCATGAGCCAAACAGCAGAGCCCTTCCCCTCTCTAAACAAAGCAGTAGCATTACCACATTAGAAAATAGGTGAGCCATAAAGTTATATGTGTTGCCCTGAGTAAAGGGGTTCTTCCTCAGAATCACTCGTATGGAAAGCCATGGGACAGGTGCTTTCCATGGCTCTCAGCTACACTATGGCCTTGAGACAGAAAATAATTGCACATGGACTGAGAGTCATGAGCCCCAGAACAGAGATGTGATAGAGAAATAAATTGTGTTCCTGACTATCTAGGACATGGAGCTGGTTCAGCCCCCTCACTCCCTCAGAGAACGTGGTGCATTTCATTAGGAGATCCCCTAGTCACCCCCATCAGGGTTGGTGTCTGTTCTCATCACTGGGGTATTAATAGGGAAGTCACGGGGTCCAGCACTGCCCAGCTGTCTCCCATACTTCTTTGCTGAATAGGAAGCTCAGGTCAACAAGCACTCCATTGTCCAGCCCATCATTTGAAACAGAGAATGCCTCACAGTAAACAAAGATCAAGTACACAGCCATCTTCTTGTGCCACAGCTGGTTCATATCCATAAGCACTACACACTGGCCTTCAGACTACACTGCACTGACCAATATAAAACCTCCCAACAAAAGTGTACAGGGCTATAGAAGCAAAACCAAAAGGCCCTACCCAACATATTCTACAGTCACAGTCTCAAGGTGGGAAATAACAGAGAAAAGAAAATCCCATATGAATGAAAATAAATTCAAAATAAGAAGTGTCAGTTTCTCCAGATGTTCAGGAAACATAAAAATGCAGGTACCTTGACAAATCTGAATGTTGTGAAATCACCAAAGGATCACACTAGCTCTTTAGCAAAGGACCAAAATGAGAACTCAGAAATAGCATATGAAGAATTAAAAGTATGGATTGCAATGAAGCTCAATGAGATCCAAGGGAAGGTTGAAAATCAACACAAAAGCAACCCAGGAAATAAAGGAAGAGGGAAGAGGTATGTATCTTAGGGGAAAAAAAGACTTTCGGAAATAAATAATTACTTAAGGAATTTCAAAATACAGCATAATAGACTGGACCAAAAAAAAGAGAAAGAATTTCAGAGCTCGAAAGCTGGTCTTTTGAATTAATCCAGTCAGACAAAAATAAAGAAAAAAGAATTTTTAAAAAAATGCACAAAGCCTTTGAGAAATATGAGATTTACTATGTAAAATGATAAAACCTACAACTTACAGGCATTCCAGAGAAAGAAGAAGAAAAAACAAGCAACCTGGAAAACATATTTGAGAGAATAATTAACTATAATTTCACACTATACAAGATGAACATCATCAAAGTATACAGTCACCAGACCGTCCAAGGTAAATGCAAAACAAATAAAAATAAAAATCTGAAAGGCAGCTGAAGAAAAGGGTTAAATCACTAAAGAAAAAAACTCATCAAACAACAAACTTTTCAGCAGAAAACATACAAGCCAGGAAAGATTGAGGGCCTATTTTTATCCTCCGTTAAGAAAAAAAGATGCTGGCCAAGAAGTTCATATCGTGCCAAAATAAGCTGCATAAATGAAGGAGAAATCAAGTATTTTCCAGACAAGTAAATTCTGACGGAATTTGTCACCAATAGACTGAACCTACAAGAAATGATTAAAGAAGTTCAACAATGGAAATTGAAGGATGATGCTCATCATCATAAAAGGACACATTAAGTACAAAACTCTTAGATCTTATAAAGCAATTACCCAATTAACACTCCAAAACACCTAGCTAACAACAATGTAACAGGAACTAAACCCCACATAACAATATTAACCTTGAATAGAGATGGCCCAAATCAAGCTTGTTTAACCTGCAGCCTAACACAAATTTGTAAACTTTTTTAAAACACGAGATTTTTTTTTTTTTTTTTTTTTTGCAATTTTTAGGTCATCAGCTATCATTAGTGTTAGTATATTTTAATGTGTGGCCTAAGACAACTATTTTTCTTCCATTTTGGCCAAGGGAAGCCAAATGATTGGGCATCCCTGGCCTAAATGATCCACTTGAAAGATACACAGTGGAAAATTTGATTCAAATAATACCCAACCACCAGTTGCCTACAGAGACACATCTATTGGCTAATAACACCTCACACTCAAAAGAGTCCAAAATGATACATTACACAATTGAAAAACAGAAGAGAAGAGAGGTAGCCATTATCATATAAACAAACCTTAAACAACAGTAAGAACAGAAAAAGAACAATATATAATAATAAGCCTCTTAATACAAGAAGAAGATTTAACTATCATATATATATATATGCACTCATCACTGAAGCACCCAGATTCATAAAAAAAAAAAAAATACTGCTAGACCTAGAAAACAGACTGATGGAAATACAATAATAGTAGGGAACTTTAATATTCCACTAATATTACTACAAAGATGACTGAGGCAGAGAATAAACAAACAAAAAACCTTGACATAAATTGGAATTTAGACCAAATGGAGCTCATAGACATTTACAGAACTTTCTACTCAACAATTGCAAAATATAGATTCTTCTCATATGTTGATTGAATATTCTTCAAATTTGACCATATATGTGGCTATAAAGCAAGTCTGAATACATTTTACAAGATAAAAATCATATTAAGTATCTTCTTGGACCACAATGGAATAAAATTAGAAATCAATACCAAGAGGAACTCTAAAAACTACACTGATACATGGAAACTAAACAACTTGCTCCAGAATGACTGATAATTAAACAATAAAATTAAGGCAGGATTTAAAATACTATTTTTTCACCAACTCAAATAATATGAGAAAAGAATTAAAAAATTATTTAAAACTAATGAAAGTAGAGACACAGTATACCAAACCACTGGAATACAGCAAAAACAATGCTAAAAGAAGTTTATAGCATTAAATGTCTACATAAAGAAGATACAAAAGTCTCAAGTTAACCATCTAATGTCACGTCTCAAAGACATACAAAAACAAAAATAAACCAAGTCCAAAGCTAGCAAAAGAAAAGAGATAACAAATATAGCAGAACTAAAGGAGATTGAGATGAAAAGCCACAAAGGATCAATAAAACAAAAAGTTGTTTCTCCAAAAAGGATAAACACAGTTGACAGACCACCAGCAAGATTAATCAAAAGAAAAAGACAATTCAAATAAGTACAATCAGAAATGATGAAGGTGACATAACAGCTGACACAACAGTAATTTATAGTATTATCAGAGTCTACTATGAACACCTCTATATGTACAAACTAGAAAACCTAGAGAAAATTAATAAAATTCTGGATATATACAGCCTCCCAAGATTGAACCAGAAAGAAATAGAAATTCTGAATAGACCAATAATGTGTAATAAAATCAAATTAGTAGTAAAAAAGCTTCCAGCAACAACAAAGAAATCTCGGAACCAGACAGATTCACAGCTGAATTCCACCAGATGTACAACAACAAGCTGGTATCCATGTACTAAAATTATTCCAAAAAATTGAGGACCAGGCATTCCTCCTTAACTCATTCTATGAATCTTATATTACTCTGATATGAAAATCATTCAAAAACATTAAAAAAGGAGAAAAGAAGCAGCCAATATCCCAATGATCATAGATACAAAGTTGCTCAACAAAATATTAGCAAATCAAATCCAATAGCACATCAAAAAGATAATTCATCATGATCAAGTGGGTTTTCTTTAGTGTGGAGATGCAAGGATATTTCAACATAAATGAATCAATAAACAGGATTCACCATGTAAACAGAACTAAGAACAAAAACCATATGATCATCTCAATAGATGCAGAAGAAGCATTCAATAAAATTCAATATTTCTTCATTATAAAAGCCCTCAACAAACTATGCATCAATGGAATATCCTTCAAAATAATAGCAGCCATGACTGACAAACCCATAGTCAATATCATACTGAATGAGCAAAAACTGAAAGCCTTCCTCCTGTGAACTGGAACAAGATAATAGTGTCCATTCTCATCACTCCTATTCTGCATAGTACTATAAGTACTCACCAGAACAACTAGGCAAGAGAAAGAAATTAAAGACATTCAACTTGGAAAAGAGGAAGTCAAATGATGTCTGTTTGCTGATAACATTATTATATACCTAGAAACCCTAAACACTCCTCCAAAAGACTCCTCTACTTTATAAACAACTTCAGTAAAGTTTCAGGATACAAAATCAATGTACAAAATCAGTATCATTACTATACACCAAATAAAGAACTTTATCCCATTTACAGTAGCCACAGTGAAAATAAAATACCAAGGAATACATTTAATCAAGGAGATAAAAGATCTCTATGAGGAGAACTATGAAACACTGATGAAAGAAATCAGAGATGACACAAACAAATGAAAAAACATCACATGCTAATGGATTGGAAGAATCAGTACTGTTAAAATAACCATATTGCTCAAAGCAAGCTACAGATTTAACACAAATCCTATTAAATTACCAGTGTCATTTTTCACATAATTGGAAAAAATAATCCTAAAGTTCATTTGCCACAAAAAAAGCCTGACTAGTCAAAGCAATCCTATGCAAAAAGAACAAATCTGGAGGTATCACATTGCCTTACTTCAAATTATACTATGAGGTTATATTAACTAAAACAGCATGGTAACTGGTATAAAAATAGAAACATGGATCAATGGAACAGAGTAGAGAACTCAGAAATAAGACCACGTACCTATAACAAACTGATCTTCAACAAAGTCAACAAAAATTAACAATGAGGAAAGGACACCCTATCTGACAAATTATAATGGGAAAATTGGATAATCATATGCAGAAGAATGAAACTTGACCTGTATCTCTCATCATATACAAAAATTACCTCAAGATTGATTAAAGAACTAAATGTAAGAACTGAAACTATAAAATTCTAGAAGAAAACCTAGAAAAAACTCTTCCATACATTGTCTTGGGCAAATAATTTATGACAAAGACACCAAAAGCAAATTAAAAACCATAAAAAATAGGCAAATGGGACTCAATTAAACAAAAGAGCTTCTCCACAGCAAAAGAAATAATCAAAAGTGAAAAAAGACAACCTACAGACTGAGAGAAAATATTTGCAAATTAGGCCTCTTGGCAAAGGACTAATATTTAGAATCTACAAGAAACTCAAACAACTCACCAGGAAAAAGCAAATAACTTCATTAAAAATTGGGCAAAGGACACGACAAGATACTTCTCAGAAGACGACTAACATACATACATATGAAAAAAATGCTCATCATCAGTAATCATGAGAGAAATGCAAATTTAAGTCACACTGAGATATCATTTTATAGCAGTCAGAGTGGCCATTATTAAAAAGTCAAAAAACAATAGATGTTGTCATGAATGTAGAGAAAAAAGAATGCTTATACACTGTTGGTGGGAATGTAAATTAGTTCAACCTCTTGTGAAAACAGTATGGAGATATTTCAAACTGCTGAAAATAGAACTACAATTTAAGCCAGAAATATCACTGCTGGGTGTCAATTGAAAGGAAAATAAGGAGGGTGGATGGCAAGATGGCCGACTAGGAACAGCTCCAGTCTGCAGCTCCCAACGAGATCAATGCAGAAAGTGGGTGATTTCTGCATTTCCAACTGAGGTACCCGGCTCATCTCATAAGGACTGGTTAGACAGTGGGTGCAGCCCTCAGTGGGTGAGCCAAAGCAGGGTGGGGTCGTTGCCTCACCCAGGAAGCATAAGTGTTTGGGGAACTCCTTCCCCTAGTCAGTGGTCAGTAACCACAAGCAGTGGTTAGAGGGAAATTTATAGCACTAAATGTCCACAGTCAAGGGAAGCTGTGAGAGACTTTGCCATGAGGAAAAGTGCATTCCAGCCCAGATACTATGCTTTTCCCATGGTCTTCACAACCCGCAGACCAGGAGATTCCCTCGGGTGCCTATACCACCAGGGCCCTGGGTTCCAAGCACAAAACTGTGTGGCCATTTGGCCAGACACCGAGCTAGCTGCAGGAGTTTTTTTCCATACCCCAGTGGTGCCTGGAACACCAGTGAGACAGAACCATTCACTCCCCTGGAAAGGGGGCTGAAGCCAGGGAACCAAGTGATCTTGCTCAGCAGATCCCACCCCCATGGAGCCCAGCAAGCTAAGATCCACTGGCTTAAAATTCTTACTGCCAGCACAGCAGTCTGTAGTCGACCTGGGACACTGAAGCTTGGTGGGGAGAAGGGCGTCTGCCATTACTGAGGCTTGAGTATGTGGTTTTCCCCTCAGTGTAAACAAAGCCACTGGGAAGTTCAAACTGGGTGGAGCCCACCTCAGCACTGCACAGCCATTGTAGCCAGACTGTCTCTCTAGATTCCTCCTCTCTGGGCAGGGAAGCAGCCCCAGTCAGGGGCTTAGAGTTAAAACTCCCATCTCCCGGGGACAGAGCACCTGGGGGAAGGGGTGACTGTGGGTACAGCTTCAACAAACTTAAATGTTCCTGCTTGCCGGCCCTGAAGAGAGCAGCAGATCTCTCAGCACAGCCTTTGAGCTCTGCTAAGGGACAGACTGCCTCTTCAAGTGGGTCCCTGACCCCTGTGCCTCCTGACTCAGAGACACTGCCCAGTAGGGGTCAATAGACACCTCATACAGGAGAGCTCTGGCTGGCATCTAGTGGGTGCCCTTTTGGGATAAAGCTACTAGAAGAAGGAACAGGTAGCAATCTTTGCTGTTTTGCAGTCTCCGCTGGTGATACCCAGGCAAATAGGGTCTGGAGTGGACCTCCAGCAAACTCCAGCAGACCTGCAGCAGAGGGGCCTATTAGAAGGAAAACTAACAAACAAAGAGGAATAGCATCAACATCAACAAAAGGGACATCCACTCAAAAACCCCACCTGAAGGTCACCGACATCAAAGACCAAAGGTAGATAAATCCATGAAGATGAGGAAAAACTAGCGCAAAAAGGCTGAAAATTCCAAAAACCAGAATGCCTCTTCTCCTCCGAAGTATCACAACTCCTCGCCAGCAAGGGAACAAAACTGGAGGGAGAATGAGTTTGATGAATTGACAGAAGTAGGCTTCAGAAGGTGGGTAATAGCAAACTCCTCTGAGCTAAAGGAGCATGTTCCAACCCAATGCAAGGAAGCTAAGAACCTTGAGAAAAGATTAGAGGAGTTGCTAACTAGAATAACCAGTTTAGAGAAGAACATAAATGACCTGATAGAGCTGAAAAAACAGCACAAGAACTTCATGAAGCATATGCACTTACCAACAGCTGAATCGATCAAGTGAAAGACAGGATATCAGAGGTTGAAGATAAACTCAGTAAAATAAACCGTGAAGACAAGATTAGAGAAAAAAGAATGAAAAGAAATGAACAAGCCTCCAAAAAATATGGGACTATGTGCAAAGACCAAATCTGTGTTTGATTGGTGTACCTGAAAGTGACGGAGAGAATGCAACCTAGTTGGAAAACACTCTTCAGGATATTATCCAGGAGAACTTCCCCGGCCTAGCAAGACAGGCCAAAATTCAAATTCAGGAAATACAGAGAACAACACAAAGATACTCCTTGAGAAGATCAACCCCAAGACGCATAATCGTCAAATTCACCAATGTTGAAACAAAGGAAAAAATGTTAAGGGCAGCCAGAGAGAAATGTTGGGTTACTCACAAAGGGAAGCCCATTAGACTAACAGTGAATCTCTCTGCAGAAACCCTACAAGCCAGAAGAGAGTGGGGACCAATATTCAACATTCTTAAAGAAAAGAATTTTCAACCCAGAATTTCATATCTAGCCAAACTGTGCTTCATAAGCAAAGGAGAAATAAAATCCTTTACAGAGAAGGAAATGCTGAGAGATTTTGTCACCACCAGGCCTGCCTTATAAGAGCTCCTGAAAGAAGCATTAAATATGGAAAGCAAAAACCAGTACCAGCCACTGCGAAAACATACCAAATAGTAAAGATCATGACACTACAAAGAAACTGCAAAAACTAATGGGCAAAATAACCAGCTAACATCATCATAACAGGATCAAATTCACACATAACAATATTAACCTCAAATGTAAATGGGCTAAATGCCCCAATTAAAAGACACAGACTGGCAAATTGGATAAAGAGTCAAGATCCATCGGTGTACTGTATTCAGGAGACATATCTCACGTGCGAAGACACACATAGGCTCAAAATAAAGGAATGGAGGAACACTTACCAAGCAAATGGAAGGCAAAAATAAAAAAGCAGGGGTTGCAATCCTAGTCTCTGATAAAATAGATTTTAAACCAACAAAGATCAAAAAAGACAAAGAAAGGCATTACATAGTGGTAAAGGGATCAATGCACCAAGGAGAGCTAACTATCCTAAATATACATGCACCCAATACAGGAGCACCCAGATTCATAAAGCAAGTTCTTAAAGACCTACAATGAGACCTAGACTCCCACACAATAATAATGGGAGACTTTAACACCCCACTGTCAATATTAGACAGATAAATGAGACAGAAAATTAAGAAAGATATTCAGGACTTGAACTCAGCTCTGGGTGAAGTGGACCTAATAGACATCTGCAGAACTCTCCACCCCAAATCAACAGAATATACATTCTTCTCAGCACCACATTACACATATTCTAAAATTGACCACATATTGGAAGTAAAACAATCCTTAGCAAATGCAAAAGAATGGAAATCATAACAAACAGTCTCTCAGACCACAGTGCAATCAAGTTAGAACTCAGTATTAAGAAACTCACTCAAAACTGCACAATTACATGGAAACTGAATAACTGGCTCCTGAATTACTACTGAGTAAATAAAAAAATTAAGGCAGAAATAAAATAAATTCTTTGAAACTAGGGAGAACAAAGACACAATGCACTAGAACATCTGGGACACAGCTAAAGCAGTGGTTAGAGGGAAATTTATAGCACTAAATGTCCACAGGAAAAAGTGAGAAACATCCAAAATCGACACCCTGACATCACAATTAAAAGAATTAGAGAAGCAAGAGCAAACAAATTCAATAGCTGGCAGAAGACAGAAAATAATTAAGATCAGAGCAGAACTGAAAGAGATAGAGACACAAAAATCCCTTCAAAAAATCAATGAATCCAGGAGTTTTTTTTTTTGAAAACATTAACAAAATAGAACAGTAGCCAGACTAATAGAGAAGAAAAGAGAGAAGAATCAAATAGACACAATAAAAAATGATAAAGGGGATATCACCACTCATCGCACAGAAATACAAACTATCACAAGATATCAAATATATCTATAGTATCATAGAGAATACTATAAACACCTCTATGCAAATAAGCTAGGAAAATCTAGAAGAAATGGACAAATTCCTGAGCACATACACCCTCCCAAGGCTAAACCAGGAAGAAGACGAATCCCTGAATAGACGAATAACAAGTTCTGAAATTGAGGCAGTAATTAATAGCCTACCAACCAAAAAAAGCTCAGGAACAGACGGATTCAAATCTGAATTTTTCCAGAGGTTCACAGAGGGGCTGGTACCATTCCTTCTGAAACTATTCCAATCAATAGAAAAAGAGGGACTCCTCCCTAACTCATTTTTTGAGGCCAGCATCATCCTGATGCCAAAACCTGGCAGAGACACAACAAAAAAAGAAAATGTCAGGCCAATATCCATGATGAACATTGATCAAAAATCCTCAATAAAATAGTGGCAAACAGAATCCAGCAGCACATCAAAAAGCTTATCCATCACGAGCAAGTTGGCTTCATCCATGGGATGCAAGGCTGGTTCAACATATGCAAATCAATAAATATAATCCATCACACAAACAGAACCAATGACAAAACCACATGATTATCTCAATGAATGCAGAAAAGCTATTCGATAAAATTCAACACCCCTTCATGCTAGAAACTCTGAATAAACTAGGTATTGATGGAACATATCTGAAAATAATAAGAGCTATTAATGACAAACCCACAGCCAATATCATACTGAATGGGCAAAAGCTGGAAGCATTCCATTTGAAAACCAGCACAAGACAAGGCTGCCCTTTCTCACCACTCCTATTCAACGTACTACTGGAAGTTCTGGCCAGGGCAATCAGACAAGAGAAAGAAATAAAGCATAGTCAAATAGGAAGAGAGAATGTCAAATTGTCTCTGTTTGCAGTTGACATGATTGTATATTTAGAAAACCCCATCATCTCAGCCCAAAATCTCCTTAAGCTGATTAAACAACTTCAGCAAAGTCTCAGGATACAAAATCAATGTGCAAAAATCACAAGCATTCCTATACACCAATAATAGAGAAACAGAGAGCCAAATGATGAGTGAACTCCCATTCTCAATACCTAAGAATACAACTTACAAAGGATGTGAAGGACCTCTTCAAGGAGAACTACAAACCACTGCTCAAGGAAATAAGAGAGGACACAAACAAATGGAAAAACATTCCATGCTTACACATAGAAAGAATCATTATTGTGAAAATGGCCATACTGCTCAAAGTAATTTATAGATTTAATGCTATCCCCATCAAGCTACCATTGACTTTCTTTACAGGATTAGAAGAACCTACTTTAACTTTCATATGGAACCAAAAAAGAGCCCGCATTGCCAAGAAAATCCTATGCAAAAAGAGCAAAGCCGGAGGCACCACGCTACCTGACTTCAAACTATACTACAAGGCTAGAGTAACCAAAACAGCATGGCACTGGTACCAAAACAGATATATAGACCAATGGAACAGAGCAGAGGCTTCAGAAATAACACTACACATCTACAACCATCTGCTCTTTGACGAACCTGATGAAAACAAGCAATGGGGAAAGGATTCCCTTTTTAATAAATGGTGTTGGGAGAACTGGCTGGCCATATGCAGAATACTGAAACTGAACCCCTTCCTTACACCTTATATGAAAATTAACTCAAGATGGACTAAAGACTTAAACAGAAGTCCTCAAACCATAGAAACCCCAGAAAAAAAATCTTGGGCAGTACCATTCAGGACGTAGGCATGGACAGAGACTTCATGACTAAAACACCAAAAGCAATGGCAACAAAAGCCAAAATTGACAAAATGGGATCTAATTACCTAAAGAGCTTCTGCACAGCAAAAGAAAGTATCATCAGAGTGAACAGGCAACCTATAGAATGGGAGAAAATTTTTGCAATCTATCCATCTGACAAACGGCTAATATTCAGAATCTACAAGGAACTTAAACACATTTAAAAGAAAAAAACAACCCCATCAAAAAGTAGGTGGAGGATATGAATGGATGCTTCTCAAAAAAAGACATTTTTGTGGCCAACAAACATATGAAGAAAAGCTCATCATCACTGGTCATTACAGAAATACAAATGAAAATCACAATGAGATTCCATCTCACACCAGTTAGAATGGCGATCATTAAAAAGTCAGGAAGGCCAGGCGCAGTGGCTCACGTCTGTAATCCTAGCACTCTGGGAGGCCGAGGCAGGCAGATTGCCTGAGCTCAGGAGTTCGAGACCAGCCTGGGCAATATGGTGAAACCCCGTCTCTACTAAAAATACAAAAAATTAGCCGGGCGTGCGCCCGGCTGGGACTGCGGCGTGCGCCTGTAGTCCCAGCTACTCGGGAGACTGAAGCAGGAGAATCGCTTGAACCTGAGAGGCGGAAGTTGCAGTGAGCCGAGATCGCGCCACTGCACTCCAGCCTGGGTGAAAGAGCGAGGCTCCATCCGCCCCCGCCAAAAAAAAAAAAAAAAAAAAAAAAAAAGTCAGGAAATAACAGATTCTGGAGAGGATGTGGAGAAATAGGAACACTTTTACACTGTTGATGGGAGTGTAAATTTGTTCAACCATTGTGGAAGACAGTGTGGCGATTTCTTCAGGATCTAGCACCAGAAAACCATTTGACCCAGCCATCCCATTACTGGGTATATATCCAAAGGGTTATAAATTATTCTACTATAAAGACACATGCACACATGCACACATATCTTTATTGAAGCACTATTTACAATAGCAAAGACTTGGAACCAAACCAAAAGCCCATTAATGATAAACTGGATAAATAAAATGTGGCACATATACACCGTGGAATACTATGCAGCCTTAAAAAGGATGAGTTCATGTCCTTTCCAGGGACATGAATGTAGCTGTAAACCATCATTCTCAGCAAACCAACACAGGAACAGAAAAGCAAACACCACATGTTCTCACTCATAGGTGGGAGTTGAACAATGAGAACACATGGACACAGAGAGGGGAACATCACACACCGGGGCCTGTTGTGGGGTGGGGAGCTAGGAGAGGGATAGCATTAGGAGAAATATCTAATATAGGAGACGGGTTGATGGGTGCAGCAAACCATCATGGTACGTGTATACCTATGTAACAAACCTGCACGTTCTGCACATGTATCCCAGAACTTAAAGTACAATAAAAAATAGGAAAATAAATCATTACGTGAAAAAGCCACCTGCCCTTGCATGTTTATTACAGCACTATTCACAACAGCAGTTATGGAACCAACTAAGTGTTCATCAGTGGTTGATGGACAAAGAAAATATGGTTTATATACACCATAGAATACAATGCAGCTATAAAAAAAGAATGAAATCATGTCCTCTGCAGCAACATGGATGAAACTAAAAGCCATTATCCTAAGTGACCTAACTCAAACTGAAAATCAAATATTGCATGTTCTCACTTATAAGTGTGAACTAAACGATGGATACACATAGACATAAAGATGGAAATAACAGAAACTGAAGTTTCCAAAATGAGGGAGAGAAAGAGGGGTTTGGGGTTTGAGGGTTAAAACTTTACCTATTAGATACAGTGTTCAATATTTGGGTGATGGGCACACTAGACGCCCATTCTCCATAATTACCCATATAACAAACATGCACTTGTAACCCCTGAATCTAAACTAAAAAAAAAACTCTGACTCTTTCTTCATTAATTCATTCATTTAAAAATAATCTTCTAAATACTTGCTATATATATCACATACTTTCCTAGCCTGGAGACAGAACTGTGAACAGGAGAGGAAAGTTCTATATTTCTTTCAGGTTTATCTTACATTGGACATAAACAATATAACAGAGAATGCCAAAACATGTGATAGGGTTATAACAGGAATTTCCCAGAGGCCCATGCGAGTATACAAAAAAATACATATCCCATACTAGAGGGATGGAAGTGATCAAAGAAAAGTCTATGATTTGCGGCATGGCCATAAGATAAAATCCCCTCAGATAGCTTAAAGAGAGTTAGTGAGGTGACTGCTTCCAGAGATAAGTTCGATTTTAGAGACATCTAGAGGCTAACAACAGAAACAAGTCATTATTATCCCCAAGGTTGAAGGAGAAAAGAAAGAAAGAGTGCTACTAAAGTTCAGAAGGAACTGGGGCAATGAAATTTCAGCCCTTTGGGAGCTACAGTCATAAGGGTCACAGCCTGCAGTACTGAGAGGAAAAATACCTAGAACTCTTGTTTCCCCACTTTTCAGTCTCTTGCCCATGCTTGTCATTGACCAAACTGAACTAGAGAGAGCACACGCGATACATATTATGATATCAACCGCTTGGAGTACAGAACAAAACAGAGAATGAATGGATTAGGGTGGGAGAGGATGAAATACAACGAGTATAGATTACTTCTTTTGCTACTCAGCATTTATTCTTGCCATTTAACCAAATGAAGGAATTCTCACTGACAACTCAGGTGAGGCATAACTGCCATCAGACTAAATAATGAGGGATGATGTTGAATTGCTTTATTTTCATGCAGAACCCAAAGATAATGATACATATCACCATTATTCTTCATGTTGGTTGGCCTAAAAAATGAGGCAAACAATCAGAAATGATAAGTATAATTTCTATAGACCCTGATGCTTGCTGGTTATGGGGTCAATATTAAGATTCATAACTTTAACTTTACTATCATTTATTTTGTATCCTTCTTTTCCTCTATCACTTTGTAGAGTTTCCTCATGAGATAGGTGACCTAATTTATTACTCTAACGTAGTCTGGGTAGCAAGTCATTCTGTCTCTATTGGATTGTCCCATTTTTCCATTTACTATTATTAATGAACTTAGAAGCTCTAGAAGGCATATGAGTGAATTTCCTAGGTTCCAGGTACAACATTCCTACTTTCCAGTGTGTAGCAATGACCCAATTTTCCCTTGTTAATGGGGAATAATTTCCACAACCAGTAAAATAATCTTGATGCCTGTTGATTCTAGAAGATGTAAAAGCCAAAAGGCCTATAAACATGCTCAGCACCCATGAATGTGCTCCCTGGCAAAAGTGTTTCTCCCTTTTAAGTAAGACCTCTAAACCTGTTGTATTATTCTGCTATTTTTTCGATAAGCACATGTGACAGAAAATCCTAACACCTCTTTAGATTACAACAAATGTGGCTTCTCACTGGTGAATTTTCAGTCTGTATGTTGTATTCAGGTATCCTCTACATGTATCTCCTTCTGTAGATAGCAGCTAACCATAGCATACACTTATCCTAGTGGTGGACCTAAGACCCACAACTGCCACAGAGATGCATTTTACATTGGGCCCAGTTAAAACTGACAGACTTGTTGCTTACCAAATAAGTAGACAGAATAGCAGACATCAAACATAAATAGGCTCACCATATGTTGCAGCAGTGCAAGATGTTGCAAATTATCACTCATTTCAGAGAAACATCTTGACATTCCAAGAGCATTGGAACCCTAAAACTTCACTAATGTGATAGACCTCTAAATATGTTTTGGGGTTTTTCTCTCATCCTCTAAAATGTGTCACACTACTATGCCATATAGGATACTTGCTACTTTTAGCTCACAAAGTAAAATAATGTCATCAATGTAATGTTCAATTATGATATTTTCTGGGACACTAAAATGTTCTCATAGGTCATATATGGCAGAATGCAGTAGATTTGTTCTGACCTTGATTTAAGACTGTAAAGACATATGGCTGTCCCAGCTAAGTAAGACAAATTTCTGGTTGTTGTAACTAATTGGAAAATTTTTAAGAGAAATTTGCTGAGACAATAGATGCACATTGGGTGTCAGAGACCATGCCAATTTGGAACATGTTTAGATTATTATTGTAGTGGTAGAAGATTGTCAACTTTCAGGGGATTATTCTTCATTTAGCTTGCTTCTTCCCACTGATATAGCTATATTACACAGGTGAAGGAACAGATATACGTTTTCTACTATTCTTCAAATGTGTTTATTTTAACTATACTTTCAGACACAAGAGAAATAACCATTGGATCCACTGAAAATTGGATTCTGGATACAATTTCATCTGTCATGTAACCTCTGTAATTAACCATACTGATGACTGAATCATGGTAGTGTTTCTGTTTTATAGGAACAAATGTTACTTTGGACTGACCATTCAATAACTCCCAGAATGTTCTATGTATTTCTATCATAGCCATGTACAAACATTATTGTATGTGTCCACAGGTTCCTCTGGTAATGGCTTGGAGGAAGATTTAAAATATGCATTTGACCCTCCACTGCAGAGTGTTACCCATGATGAACTAGTCTTGCTCTATAAGTTAGGGGTTCTAGGTACATGAAATGGCTCAGATATGGAACTCAGTAAAACTACACAATTCCAAAAACATGGTTTTCTCTGAATATATAGATGAACCAACATCATAATGACTACCCATCTCTTTCATTCACAGGGACTTAATAATCAATTAACTACTGCCACAGATCCTGTGGTTAAAATATTTTGAATGCAACTTTGGCCCTCCGGTCTTTTGTGGCTATCTTGTCTCTGATCATTAGTAGACGCCAACATCCAGCTTCTATAATTTTTGGTCCAATTGTTCACATTGATGAAGAGTGCAGTTAAATGGCACATTAGCATTTTCAGGTTACAGTGGGGTAACATCAAAGAATTTTAGAGAAAATGCTGGTGCTCCGCCAGAAACTTTTTTTAGTTACCTTTGGGTAGGAATATCTTCTAGATCCTCCAGATGTGTACATTTTCTCTGCTCTGTGTGTCAGGGAAAGTTGCATACAATAGATCTGCTCTGATATTATCATATCCTTCACAGTATTAAAGACAATTTCTGGAATCTTTATCTCATTGATGGGAAGCCACTACTGAATTCAGGCTTCAAGTAACCAACCAAGAGAGCTCATAGAGCATTGCAAGTGTTTCAGGTAAACAAACAAATTCCAAGTAAATTTCCCAACATTGAAACATCTGTTATTATGTAACATCATATTTTGTTTTGTTTGATCTAATAACAACAGAGTCAATTCTAACACATAGTCTTCAGGGAAAGATCTTGCAGATATATTTGTATGTACTCTTCGTACTCTTGGAAAAGATCTTGCAATTCGTCCTCTGTGAAATGCTAGTATTTAACTCAGCAGGCAGTGAGGGGTGTAGAGTTTGTGTCTTTTGGAAAAGTGGTATTTCCTTGAGAGATACCTACTCCAGCCAAAGTCATTGCAAGATATTTAAGCAAAGAAAGATTTGACTTGTCCGTTCAAACCATTAATGTGTGCTCAAATGTCTCTACCTCAACTCATCAGGGATCTACTTCTTCTAATCACTTTCCTATCCATAGCATAAGAAAAGACTTGATGAGTTTATGCATTGGCATAGTAACTGTGAAATACAGATAGTCAGTTTCAGGGACAGAGGCTTAGCCCTGTCAGCCTGTAGCTATTGGAATAAATAGAATTTTTTTAAGGCCCCATATAAGTCTTTTTTTTTTTTTAAAGGTTCACTTCTTTACTCTTGAATTGGGTGTATGAGTTCCTTAAGATAATGTTTTATGTTTTCCAGTACTGTCTGATGATATCAGCCTACATTCTTTCTATTCATCTCTGTTGCCATAACAATGAATAACATGAGCCACATGATCACCCAAGTATTTATGGTCTATTGCTAATCTATCCTGAACTACAACCAATGGTAACCTGGGTAATTGTGGTGCGATGCATGCTGCAAATTAGGATTATTACCTTTTTCCCTGACTGGAGATCATATGTTCATCAAATATGTGAGCAACACAGATCCAGAATCTTATGGTAGTCACCAAATTTCTGGGACCACTCCTCGTATCAATTACAACATCAACTAGGTATTGGTATTGTAGAGATTCACTCAGAGAGAAACATTAATGAATGTATTTCAAATAGAATGTGTGCACAGTTAACTAAACAGAGGATGTTGAGATGTTGAGATGCTCAGAGACTAGTAACATTACAAAATGGTCACCTTTCCTAAGACTAAAAGGAAAGAGGAGAGAACATAGTCTTATTGGAGTCACAGAACTTGGCCACTTGATGGAAATTGTTATTACAGAAAGATGTAACTACTGCCAGAGAGTAGTGTCAAAGAAGGGGGAAGAAAAGAACTACCTTGACCTTGATGTCTCTTTACTTCTGCCCACTGATCTGTGTGTGTCTCCCATTAGAAGAGTGCAACTGGAAGCCACAACACACACAGACACAAAAAACCTCTAGTGATGCAGTTATAAGGTCAACCTCCCAGAAATAGTGAAGCACAAGAAATGTTAGAGAGTACATCAGAGGTGTGGAAACAAAAAGGAATAATTCATTTAGGAGGTAACAGTTACATCAATACCTAAAATGAAAGAGCAAAAATGTGTTTTTCAGAAAAAAGTTAAAGAGAAGAATATTCCATGTAGGAAGAAAAGTCATGAAAAGAGCTGGGCATTAAGACATTGTACATTTGTAAAGTTGAAGGAAGACTGGTATGGAAGAGACGTAAATTGGAAGGTGGTGATTTAGGGCACCTTAGGTGATGCAACATCTTTTATACCAAGTTGAGATATTTAGACTTTTTCATAGAAATGACGGGAAAGCATTCAATGGTTTTAAGAGGACATGATAAGGTCATTTTATTTCAAGAAAGGGCATTTAACCAAATTGGAGAAAATAGATTGCAAGAATAAATGCAAGGAGATGAATTAGAAAGTAATTGCAGTGTTTTAGGTGATAAATAATAAGGTCTAGAGTAAAACTAATTTCTTAAAAGTATATGGGATATGGAGAAATATTTAGAGAACATAAACAATGGCTGGGCACAGTGGCTCACACCTGTACTCCCAGCACTTTGGGAGGCCAAGGCGGGTGGATCACCTGAGGTCAGGAGTTCAAGACCAGCCTGGCCAACATGATGAAACCCTGTCTCAACTAAAAATATAAAAATTAGCTGGGTGTGGTAGCGGGTGACTGTAATCCCAGCTACTTAGGAGGCTGAGGCAGGAGAATTGCTTGAACCTGGGAGTCGGAGCTTGCAGTGAGCCGAGATTGCACCATTGCACTCCAGCCTGGGCAACAAGAGTGAAACTCTGTCTCTGTCTCAAAACAAACAAACCAACAACAACAAAAACAGAAACAAAACAAGACTTACACACACACACACACATACACACACACACACACACACACACGGGCAGAGAGGAGGGCAGGGTAGAGAATAAGAGAGAGGGAGAGAGAGAGAGAGAATTAAGCAAGATATCTAACTTTGAAATGTAGTAAAATGTAGGCATTTTACTCTTTCTCCTTGGGGCATTCTCCTCCGTTTTACAATGTCTTCATTATCAAATTTATTTGTAATTAACACTGCTTCTATTATGTCAGTGCAGTTATTTCCAGCCTATACCTCCAATGAACACTTTTTTAAAAAATCTAACCTCATCTCAGTAATTTGTAAGATATTTCTACCTCATCTCTGAAACTTGGCATATTCTAACTGAACTTGCTAGTCTTTCATTCTACAATCTACCCATTTTTCTGGTTGCCTATATTATTTTAATGGTGCCATCATTCTTCAAATTTCTTATCTTCTAAATAGCTTTCGTCATTTCTTCTTTGTTAATTTATCATATTCAATTAGACAAATGTTGTTAGATTTTACTTCTAGTAACTCGCATCTGTCCCTTTTCCTTTGCATATTTTGACTCTAACTCTACTGCAGTTTAGACCATTGTTTCCTCTCCAGTGGACAACTGCCATGTCCCTCTAATTAGTTTATTGTTTCTTTCCAATCCATTTGATAAAATTAATATCGCCAACACAAAATATTTGCTATGTCATTGATCTGATCCAAAATTATCAAAATCACTCCTTACAAACCAGTTTAAAGATATAACTGCTATCTTTTCACTCATTAAACTTTTATTTTCTCCTTTTCATTCACTTTGTTTAAAAATTCTTTTAAAACATCAAATTTGTTCTTTGACTGTAGTAATTATTTGTCATAATGCAGTGGCTAACTATGTCTACTCCTTTATGTTAAAACTAATTCCTGATATTAAAACAATTATTTTTAATCAGAGATATTACATATTTTCTAAATATAATGGGTTTTGACATCAACATATGATATTGATATAATATATAATAAATACAGTAAAACTATGGATATTTAGCTATGTGAACCATATAGTTAGTTAAATTGGTAAAAGTTACTGAAAAGATTGATTCTGTACTGTTTCTTCAGACAGAATTGTTTCAGTGCCTCTTAATAGTAAGAGTTTTTTTTAGTATAGCATTATGATAAACCTGAAGGAATTAATCATAATTGCTTAGTGAGTAAACATTTCACTTCTTGGAAATGAGATTTTTATATCTGCAAATGGGATAATAGCACTTGCCCTGCATACTTGACAGAATTGTTTTGAAGGCCAAAAGAGATTTAAGAATGCAGACAACTTTAAAATACAAGTATGCTATGTAGAGATCTCATATCTGTAACTTCAACAATCTCAAATCCATATACATATCAGAAAACTGCTTGTTTTAACAAAGACTGCTATTAAATTCACTTCTTTTCTGAAATCACGAATTAGGATGCTATGCGTATTTAAATAGTACTTCAACTCACCAAGGCAGTTTTTATATTTGAAAAAATACCATGATATTAGTATCTAATACTCATCTCTGGAGTCACTATACTGTGGTAAGAGGTTCTTAAGTCTTAGTTTATACAAGTCTATTTGTAATAGACACAATAGACCAAAACACCTTAAAAAGATTACATGTAGTAAAATGAAGTATACTCATGGTTGATTTAATGATGTCTTTCTGCTATTTTGAAAAAGTCAAAGAAGCTTAATAACTTTATTTTCTAACAAGTTTTCTAGCCCATATTAGGTTAAAATAATAAACAAATGAGGATCGACTGCTTGAGACAGATATTGTTTGTATTACAATGAAATATGATATATAGCAAATAAAGATGTAAAAATAATTTTTAAACATGGAAGAGAGGGTTAGCATTCTTGTAACTATGTTCCCCCTATCTCTATCTGGCTTCTATGAATGCACCTAAAGGGTCTTTTAGGGTAGAGGGGAAACCAAACAACAGAACTCTGGACCAACCACTCAGCTTCCATTTAAGTAGCTTGTTTTTAAATGTTTAATACGCAGAAGCTTTTCCCAAAATCCTCTTTTGAGAAAAGGTTTCTCTTCTCTGTTCCCCTCCCTGCCAGCTCACATAGTAATTCCATTAAAAACAAACAAACAAACAAACAAAACAAAATAAACCTTGAAAAGCTCTGTGGTAGAG
Source organism: Homo sapiens (assembly GCF_000001405.40). NCBI lineage: Eukaryota > Metazoa > Chordata > Mammalia > Primates > Hominidae > Homo > Homo sapiens. The sequence continues at coordinate 174,032 of NW_009646204.1, read as the reverse complement.
AAAGGCATCTCTTTTCTGCAATGGATATTACTCTATTACATCCCACTGAAGTCGCTGACTTATGTAATGATGATGTTATGCCATTAAGAAAAGGTTAAACTGTGTTCACATAATTCTCTGTCAGAATGCAACAGAGTATTGGCGGTAGGTTGAAAAACGGCCCCCAAATACCTCCATGTCCTAATTCTCAATACCTATCACTGTTACCTTATATGGAAAGGTAGATCTCGTAGTTGTGATTAAATTAATAATCTTGAGATGGGGAGATTATTCAGGTGAGTACTATGTAATCATGATGATTACGTAGTAATCATGTAATCATAGTAATCATTTAAAGGCAGACACAGGAGTAGTCAGAGGAGGAGGATAATGAGATTTGATAAGGGAATCAGGGTGGATTGATGTACTTTGAACTTCTTAAAAGGGGCCACAAGCCAAGGAATACAGGTGACCAATAGATGCTGGAAAGGTCAGGAAATGGATTTTTGCTTCATTCTCCAGAAGGAACCAACTCTCCAAATATCTTGATTTAAGCCCATTGACACTGATTTCAGATTTACGCCTTTCAGAACTGTGAGAGAATAAGTTTGTGTAGTTAGCCTACTAAGTATGTGGTAGTTTGTGGCATCTTCTATAGGAAACTAATATAGTATGCAAGACATTTGAGTGTCTAGTTGTGATAGCTTCATGTGACAACATTCTCTGTGAAAGTTCCTGTGAAGTTTCTCTTATTCATACACTCATTTATAAACTAGATCCATATTAAATATCGTTTGCTATTTTAGGTTTCACAGATGTACAAATTATCATTCCATAATATGAGACCTTGAGGAGCTAGGAGTCTGGTAGAGGCGACAGATATTTAAGATACAATTATGATCATGTGTTAAATTTCATAAAAGAAACTTAAAAGAACTTTGTGGGAACCTAGGAGAGAACCTAAACCTCTCTGGAAAAGGTTAGAAAGATTTCATGATACGTGGGTTAAGTGATAAAGAATCAGAAGAAAATTTCCAGGGCAATTAAGTCTAAATAGGAATTTATAGGCAGAAGAAGTGCTAATGCAAAATATGGTGACCTGAATATTTTAGCTTGTTTAAGCAACTACAAAAATAAATGGAAATTTGGGGAATAAAGAGTGATCTGAAAGGACTGCTGATTAATGCTGATAAATGCATTCAATGATATACTACTCACATATTATCTTTCACAAATAATTCTAAATATAAGGAAATCATTCCTATTGAGTTATAAATGAAGGTGGAAGAAATGACTAGTTTGTTTTATGACAACGTGAAACCCAGATTTTAAAAATATGCATTGTGTTTACAAGATGAGCACCAATGTTCCTTTAGTTCTATGCTTACATAATTCTGTTAAATCTAAGTGAACTTTATCCTAAGTTCCTAAGTTGGTAGAAATAAAGCTTTTGAATACAACATAAAAAATGTGTGTTTGATAGAAAGAGTGTAGTTTATTTGTAAAGAACCTATTATTAGTATATTTTTTTGCATGGCATTAAAAATAAGTAGTTGTTCAAATATTTGTATGTTACCATGTAAACAAATTGCTTGTTTAAAAGGGTTATTTGTTGTTGCTGTTGTTTGCTTATTTTTTATTTTGTTTTGTTTTATTTGCTTTGCATTACTTTTCATTAGAATGTTTCAGGATTATGTGGCTGTAGTCAAGGTTTTTACTTATTTTGTCCTATTCAAGTTAACCTCTTACTTTAGCGCTGATAATTTCACAATTCTCATTCCTTTCTCCACCACACTTTTATTGAAGTATGAATGCCTATTGTTTGCCACTGCTGTTATTCCTCTCATACGAAGGCCACCTGTCATTGAAAAGAGTTACCATGCTCCAATGAGGCAGATAAGATATTTTTAAATATATTCTAAGATTTATTTAATAGGTTTGACCTTTCCAGAAATTGTCCTTATCCATCATTATAGTACATGATCAATCATTTTATACTTCATCATCTACAAAACAAGCATTAATAACAGGGGAAAGAGTTTACATTCTATTTTTCTCTATAGATTTATATCAAAACGCTTTGGACAGCTCTGCTAATTAAGGATAAGAAACTGAAAAATGTTGACCAATCTGACTATCTTAACAGGGTCAGGGTCTTAACTGAACTTTCTGTTAATCAATGTTTTACTTTAGATCTTTAGGGGCATAAAGATTGAGACCAGTAATATTTCTTTGGGTAAATCCGTAATCTATTTGAATAAATATGCCTTGATTTCTCAGTTACTTATTTTCTCAGTATTAACTTTAAAAGTCAGGTAGTTATTATTTTTCAAATATGTAAAATAAACAAGTACAGAAACCATTAGTGAATCACCTGTATGCTATGACCGGATGCTGCCCAAAATTTACCTGTTTAAAGGTTGACTTTATTATTTTGGCCATGACTACAGTCTCACTCCAAACAATGTTTAGACTGTGAAACATGGCCTTCTTAGTGAGTTTATTTTTAGGATGAATACTTCAGAAGGAAGGTGTAATTTTTACATCAGGTATTTTACCCAAATTAAAGTTTGGTCAATTAAGTATCAATGTAAAAAGAAAAAAAAAAAAGATGCCCATATCCTAAAAATTGTAAAGATACTTCTTGAGCAAGATCTGGTCTTATTCCAAGGCAACTGATATCCATGTCTATGGGAACAAAAAATTACTGTTTCTATCAGTCAGTATATGAGCTCACTAAACACTAGTAAGGTTAATAAATGTCAGAAGAAAGGCTAGGGTACCTTATTACAGTCTCTGCTATTCTGATTTTAAACTACTTGAAGAGCAATCGATGGAGCAACAGAAGTGACAGTTCTGTTTTTAAAATAAAACACAAAAAGCAAACCCAACTCTATTATTCTCTATAATAAAACCAAATACAGTGAGAAATAAAATTGGAAGGGGGTGGGGAACAGTGCAGAGGCAGAGATATCTTGTCTCTGTTCTGAGTTATTGAAGACAAAATAGAAATGTTATTTCTAGTGTTACTGTAAAAATAATGTGTATGTTTAGCCATGTGTATCATCAACATTCAATTTAAAGATCAAAGCACTCTTCCACTTAATAATATGAATAACCTACAGCCAGCTCTGAAGTAGAGCAGATCCCATTCTGATAAGCCTCTGGAAATATATTCATACTTTTAAAGATTTTTTTAAATACCCATGTTTTATATAATGAAATTTCGCAAAGTGATAGCAATACATATGTTTTTATCAGTCTGGTTCTCTAAATATCCATTCTGGATCTATATCTGCACAAATTAATAAGCTAGAGATTTTTATTATCTAGTAAAAATAACAATTATCACTGTGTTATGGCTATTTTGATAGACATCTAGGTTATTTCTATAAAATGCCTAAATATTTACAGGGAAAATAAAAACAACAGCAACAACCAGAAAAAAAATACTAATTCATCTTCATCCAGATGTTTTCCTTACATGATAACAAATATTTGAAAACATCTGGATGACTAGATCTTTCACTTTTCATATACAAGTGAAATCACAGATATGTATGTTAATCTGTCTATAACGGAATAAATTCTGAAATACATTCACTAGATAGTGGAACATCCTAAATGACCTTGAAAGCATTATTTATTTTTACAGAAAGTCATTCTCTCTGCTCCACAGTGATTTGTTCAGTATGCTTTTGACTTTTTCTTAGCTTTTAAAGTAACCAATTAGAAAATAACCTTCTGATATCTCCATATTCATTTCCACATGAACTAAACATGAAAATTCAACTTTACTCACAATATCTACACACAACTCAGACAAATAACAAAGAACAAAGACAAAGAATGTGATTGACGCTAAACTGATGAAACAGCTGTGAAATGTGAGATATCCCATAGAGATACACCTGAATCCATATCAATCATATGTTTTTCTTCTATAGTTTGGTTATGTAAAAACGAAATTTCTTACTTTAGTAGTTTTTCCATTAGCATTCCATCGAACTTGTATACTGTTAATTAAGAATGTTGGTTCCTGATATGCTGCATGTTATAATTTGAGAAGATTTTGTGTAATTGAAATTTAGGCAGGGAACACTATTCTGTTTTTAGACAAGTAAACTAGTACTCAAAGAAGGGCAAATAACCAACTGGATATCTAGTACCAAGTGGGTCACACATTTCTTAAATTTGAATTCAATTATTCTTTTTCCCAGGCCTTTATTCTCTGCACTATATTAAGTGACCTTAAAAATAGCTGAATATTAGACCATTAAAAACTGAATACTAACATTATCAAAAATATCAGAATTTGTTTAATTAGAATGGTAATATAACTTAGAATTTAAAACATGTCCTCAATAAACAAAGAAAATATTTTTATTATTATTACCATATATGAATATAAAATAACATAGGAAAAAATACTTTCCAGCTGCTTCATAGAGTGTGGATACTTGTACTCTTGTAAAATGAATAAACACCTTATAGGTATGCTAAATAACTGTAAATTTGTGATCTTTAAATAAGTTTATATCATAGAAAAGGTAGAAATAATCTACTTAGTTAAATTTAAAACCTTTTTGAATTTTTTTACTTAATTACTTTTAAAAGCCCCAAGTGAAGATTTTGAAGAACCAAGTCTAATATTTCTTTTAAACTGTTTATCTGGATCTTCAATAAATCAAAATATTTTTTACTTATCTTAAAAATTCAGACTAGAATTCTCTGGTCCCAAAGCTATTACCTTAGATACAGATTATGGCTTATATGCCTGTAAAACAGAAAGATGTTTCAACTTAAAACAACTAGTTGGTAAAGGGCTATAAGATGTGAAGATGCCTCTGGAAGATAAGAACACTGAATAATATTTGAGAAACTCCCCAAAACAATAAAGCCAGAAGTCCCAAAGGGACAGAAGTCTGGAGGGCAAAAATATATGTAGATAGGAATATGAGAAACCAATCTCATATTAAATTATGGGTCAAAGAGTGATATGGTTTGGATTTGTGTCCCCGCCCAAATCTCATGTGGAATTGGAGGAGAGGCATGGTGGGAGGTGATTGGATCATGAGGTGAATTTCCCCCTTGCTGTTCGCAGGATAGTGAGTGAGATCTGATGATTTAGAAGTGTGTGTGGCACTTCCCCTTTGCTCTTTCTCTCTCCTGCCACCACTGTGAAGAAGGTCCTTGCTTCCCCTTCACCTTCTACCATGATTGAAAGTTTCCTGAGACCTCCCAGTGATGCTTCCTGTTAAGCCTATGGAACTGTGAGTCAATTAAAACCTCATTTCTTCATAAATTGCCTAGTCTCAGGTAGTTCTTTATAGTATGTAAGAAGAGACTAGTACAAAGAGTCAGGTAGTAAGAAATAAGGCATCCTCAGTTCAAACTATCCAAGTAAACCAGAGACAAGAGAAAATTCTAGTGAAGGTAAAATTTAATAAATATAGAATAGTTTGAATTGGCTCATAATAGGAGATAGAAAAATAAAAAATATTGCTACTCTGTTTACGTCAAACTTAAAGGTTAGTATTTTCTTTATAATTTCAGTATTGGTTTGTAGATGAAATTTATAGGCCAAAAATAATATACAATATACTTCAATGACTCCTGTGTGACATATTTGTTACTTTGGTTGCTTCAAACTGAATGACCATTTTAAACCCTAATGATAAGGGCAAATAATATATTGGCCAAATGAATCTTATCCTTCTGTTGCTGGGTAGGAGCAGGTTTTTTTCAGTAAGATTCTTCATCTACCCAGGATTTTAGTAGACGACAAACACAACTTCTGATATTTGAATTTACTTTTTAGTTTTTAATTGCAAACTTGATTTCTGATATCAATATTTCTAATCCACTTTATTTTTTTAATTAAGAATTCTAAAGTGTCAGACAAGACTAATTACTTAAGCTATAGTGGATATGAGGCCCAGATTGGCCTCTTATAAGGTAGCACAACAGTGATTTGGGGGTAGTTTAAAACAACAAAGAAAAGACAAATCCCAACACGAAAGGCATCATTGATATATTCTGGAAACATCACTGTAACTTTCCCTTGAATGTAATATAGAAGGAAGCTGATAATTTTAAATACATAATAGTCAAACACTTTCCATTTGAGATCCGTGGTGGGGATAGCATGAAGTGCAGAAGCTTGAGAGTCAGGGATACCTTGAATCAAATTCCAGCTTCGTTAGCTAGGGTGAGTTATTTGACCTCATTGATTCTCAGATATCCCATCTTTAAAAAGGAGATTATGATTTCTCCCTTACAGGCCTACCAGAAGAATGAAATTAGATCATTTACTTAAAACTTTTAGCGGAATGTCTAGCACAAAACTTTCAGAACATACTAGCTCTTTTGCCAAGTAATAGAAAAGGTAAGTATATTTGTGGCTGAACGTATGAGAAATACTGTTCCTGAGAGTGTACAGATTCAAATCTCTTTTAGAAATGCATTTTGAGTTGAGATATCCATAATAACTCATTTAAAAATAAATAAAGGCATTCTTCAAGATAGAAAGACTTTATTTTTGTATATGATACATAATTTAAAATAAACAACTTAGAGATAATCTTCCAGTGCCAAATATAGCAATTTCTTTATTGTTTCAAAACTTCAAGTATTTCATTAAAATACATTTGAAAATTGCATATAAGTGCGCATACTGCACTTGTACTTTTTGTATTTTAAATCAGAATTTTCAAAACTGTTTTTGCACAAATAGCTCAGTTACACCCACAAATCACTGAATCTATTTAGCATCTTTTGAAGAGGTGTAATTTTTTGAAAAATGTGACATTTGTTTTTGTGCCAGTGCATTTGTCAACATTAGTGTAATTAGCTCAAGTTTCATCAACTAGCTTGTGCAATCTGTTCAGAATGCAACTTTGAATTTTGAATAGTCTTAGGGACTCCACTTAGAGTTTAAGCCTATTGAATCTGATTTAAGTTCTTATTTGAAAAAAAAAGTCTTTAATAAAGTCAGCATAATTTTTAAATTTCAGGTTATATATTATAGAAAGAAGCATCAGGATTATTTATTATTAATAGAAATTTTAGGAAGGTTTTACAAATAATATCCATAGAATTTCCATTAACCAAGAGAGAATGATTATTTTGATGCGTAACAAGTAACCTCACAGTGTGTTGTTAATGCATTTATTTTAAATGTGAGAATATTCTAATTTGGCTTAAGTCAGAATAAAGGAAGAAAGACACTAACAATTATATTCATTATTGATAGGAATTTGTCTCCACCATAAGGCAGCAGAAGAAAAGACTTAGAAAAACTTTTAATAATTATTTCATCAAGATACATTTTTGAGATGAATTACAGTTTTACTTTTTCACATTCTTGGCACAGATGGTATCATATTTGGAAGAGGGATTTTAGAAAGTGTAAGAGAAAAGGTTATTTGGTCTTTTCTGTGCCAATATTAGAATATGCTTAGAACAAAAACCATATTTGAGAAACAAAGAATAGAAAGATCTCTAAAAATGAAAAATTTATCCTCTGGCAATATCTGATCTAACAACTAGATGGCCTCTCAGGTTCAATGGCTAAATCTAAATGGAACAAGAGGGAGAAGTTTAAAAATACTCTTTTTTATATACCAAATAGGCCTGATTTAAGAATATAATTTTTAAAAATAATCAGGCAGGTATCCAACACGTTTGCTGTCAACTTCTCTGTAAGGACACATACACAAACACATACGAGAGAGAGAGAGAAACACAATGCCACGGTCTCTTTGTTTTCAAGGAGTTTATGCTGAAGTAGGGGAGAAAGATAGACATGGAAAAAAAACTTATGTTATTAACAATTAAAGTCCCAATTATAATACAAATATGTAGCTGCATCAAAGAAGAGATAACCCGATTCAACCAATTATCTTAATTGTCTGAAATGCATCTTTGCATGAGAATGCTGGGTGAAAGTCACGATGGTAAGTATATTGGTGGGAAAATACAAGAGATCAAATTCTGTAAACTTGTGCTAGTGAGTTAGAGGTCTTAAGTGTACATTCATTTGTTCATCATTAAATAAACTTTGAGAATCTGCTAATTTTTAAGTCCTATCTATATTTTAGGCAGTCCAGATGATTGGCATAGACTTAGCTCTTGAAATACTTAACATACTAAGACATGGATAGAATGTGAATGTCCCCAACCATGTTAATAAGGAAAATTAATTTCATAAAATAAGAAATACAAAAACCATTGTGGTGTGGTTTTTATGGTAGTGAAAACATCTTCAGCATAAAAGGTAATGATAGAGGTAGCACTGGGACAGCTTTGAAGGATAAGTAGAATTCACCTATCGAGTGGTCAGATGGTGATATGTTAGGCTCCAGTTTGTTGTCTTCCTGACAGGGTTCCAATCACCTTTATTAATCTCTTAGCCCTCAATTCAATTGTGAGGAAATGAGGATTGATTTAGTTTTGGGGAAATTCCATTATAAAGGAACTTACTGAACACTGTATCATAAGAGTGGTGAATGTTGAATGTTGACTGAATTTGGTGAGAGTGGATATCCTTGCCCTGTTCCAGATCTTAGGAGCAAAGCATTCAGTCTTTCACCACCTAATATGATATTGGATGTATTGTATAGATGCCTTTTATCAGGTTGAGGTTAAGGGAATACCCTTCTATTGCTAATTTGCTGAAAATAACTATTGAGAATGAAAATTGTATTTTGTCGTTGCTTTCCTCCATCTGTTAAGATAATCATGCGTTTCTTCTTTCTTTAGACTTCTAATATGGTGGATTATATTGATTGTTTTTTTAAATATTGAGTCAGCTTTACATTTTTTGGGTAAACTCCACTTGGGCACGCATGATATTCTTTTGATATAGTGATGAATTTCATTGGATAATATTTTATTAAGGATTTTGCTTCTATGTTTACTGGAGAAGCTATCCCCTAATTTTTTGTTTGTTTCTTTGTTTTTGCACTGTCTTTGTGTGATTTAGGTATCAGGGTAATCTTAGTTTTGTAAAATGAGTAGGAAGTATTTCCTTTTCTTCATCATCTGCTACTGGAAGAAATGCTATAAACATTTCCTAAATGTTTGGTAGAATTCACCAGTGAGATCATGTATGCATGGAGAATCCTTTATGGATGACTTTAACTACAAATTCAATTTCTTTAATAGTTATAACACCATTCAAATCATATATTTTATCTTGAATGAGTTTTAATAGTTTATAGTGTTTCAGGAATTAGTCTATTTTATCTAACTTGGTGAATTTATGTACATGGAGTTGTTTGTAGTAGTCTATTTTCAATAATATTACTGTAGGATCTGTAGTAATGTTCTTATTTTCTTTTTAATAACCTCACCTAAGAGTCTATAATGACATTCTTTCATTTCTGATATAATTTGTTTTTTGTTTTCTCACCTTTTTTGTTAATATTGCTAGAGGTTTATCAATTTCACTGCTCTTCTTAAAGAACAAACCTTTTTTTTTAAATTATTGCTTGTCTTTTGTTTTTATTTTCAATTTTAATGCTTAAAATTATTTATTAATTTGTCTTAAGATGTAGCCTTAGGTTATTAATTTGAAATGATTGTTATATTAATAGTATAAGCATTCAAAGCTATAAATTCTGAGTATTGCTGCAGTTGCATCACACACATTTTAATATGTTGTATTTTTATTAAATTAAATTATTTTCTAATCTGCTCTGAGACTTCCTCTTTTACCCATGGAATTTTTAGGACTCTGTTGTTGAATTTCCAAATGATTAGCAATTTTGCCAATTTCGTTATTGATTTCTGGTTAAATTCAAATATGCTCAAAACACATACTTTGTATTTTAAGTCTTTTAATTGTGTTGTCTTGTTTTATGACCAAGGTATAATCTAGCAGGTGGAATTTACCATGTCCAGTTGAAAAGAATGTGAAATGAGATACTGTTGAGTGTTCTATGTCAGTTAGATTCAATCAGTTGATGAGGTTGTTCAGTTCTATAAACTTGTTGATTTTTCTCTCTACTACTTCTATTACTGAGAGAAAAGTTTTAAGGTATCCAAGATTTTTCAGTTCTGTCAGCTTTTGTTTCATGTATTTTGAAACTCTGTTTTTAGGTAAATACACTTTTAATATTTTTATGTCTTTTTAGTGAATTGACACTTCATTTAATATGCAGTATCTCTATGGCTCTCTCTAACCTTGGTAAATTTCTTTGCTCTGAAATCTCCTTTGACAATGATACAGACATTCCAGCTTTCCTTTGATTAGTGTTTGCAGGGTATATCCTTTTCTATCATTTTATTTTTTAAAATTATTTTTGTCATAAAGACACTTAGTATGAGATACACCTTCCCAACAAATTTTTAAGTGTACAATATATTATTTGTACAATGTTTTAGAGTAGATCCAGAGCTCATTAGTCTTGCTTAACTTAAATGTTGTCTTTTGATTAGTAACTCATCACTTCTGTCTCCCCACCAGCCCCTGAAAAACACCATTCTGTAGTTTAATTCTATGAATTTGACTATTTCACATACCTCATATAAATGAAATTGTGCAGCATTCATCTTTCAGTGACTGGCATATTCGCATGATGTCTTCAAGGTTCATCCACATTGTCACATATTGCAGAAATTATTTAAGGTTTCATAGCATTTTGTTGTTGTGTATATACCATATTTTTTCCATTAATGTGAGGATGGACAGTTGGGTTGTTTCCACATCATGCTATTATAGATAGTACTGCAATGAAAATAGAAGTGCTAATATCTTTTTCATATTCTAATTTCACTTCTTTTGAATAAATAATCAGAAGTAAGATTGCTGGATAATATGTGCTATGGTTTGGATATGATTTGGCCCTACCAAATCTCATATTGAAATGGAATTCCTAGTTTGGCAATATTGGGAGGTAGGGCCTAGTGGGAGATACTCAGGTCATGGGGGCAAATCTCTCATGAATATATTAACGCTCTCTCTCAGTTCTCACTCTATTAGTTCCTGCAAGACCTGGTTGTTAAAAAGAGGCCAGCACCTACCTGCTCTCTCTTGCTTCTGCTCTTGCCATGTGATCCCTGCGCATGCCATCTCTCCTTCACCTTCCACTATAAGTTGAAGCAGTGTGAGGATGTCAACAGAAGCACATGCCCAATCTTGAATTTTCAGGCCATTCATAAGCATGAGCAAAACCTTTTATTCTTTATGAATGACACAGCTTCAGGGATTCCTTTATAGCAACACTAAACAGAAAAGACAATGTGTTGGATTATATTAATTTTTTTCAGCAACCTCCATACTTTTTTAATATTGTTTGCACCATTTTCCATTTCTACCAACAGTGTGCAAGAGTTTCATTTTTTTCACATGCTTAACAACATTTGTCGTCTTTTTGTAATAGTAGACATAGATAGATTTGAGATGATATTGTAGTTTTGTTTTACATTTCTTGGATAGTGTGATCTTCAGCATTTCTTATACACCTATTGGCATTTGAGGTCTTCTTTGAATAAATGTGTCTTCAAGACATTATCCCACTTTTAAAATTAGGTTATTAGTTTTTTAAATTGTTGTTATTGACTTTATATATTTCTTACATATTTTGGAGATTAACTTCTTAACAGAACTGATATGGTTTGGATGTGTATTCCCAACACAATCTCATGTCAAATTGTAATCCCAGTGTTGGAGGAGGGGCCTGCTGGAAGGTGATTAGATCATGGAAGTAGATTTCTCCCTTGCTGTTCTTGTGATAGTGAGTGAGTTCTCATGAGATCTGGTTGTTTAAAAGTGTATAGCACCTCCCCCTTCACTGTCACTTTCTTTTGCTCCAGCCATGTAAGACATGTCTGCCTCCCCTTCACTTTCTTCCATGATTGAAAGTTTCCTGAGGCCTCCCCAGCTATCCCTCCTGTACAGCTTACAGAGCTATGAGTCAATTAATCCTTTTATTTAATAAATTTCAAAGTCTTAGATATGTCTTTATAGCAGTGTGAGAATGAACTAATATAGAAAATTGGTACCAGAGAAGTGGGAACATTGCTATAAAGATACTTAAAAATGTGGAAGTGATTTTGGAACTGGGTAATAAGAAGTTGGAATAGTTTTGGGGGCTCAGAAGAATACAGGAAGTTGAGGGAAAGTTTCGAACTTCCTAGAGACTTGTCGAATGCTTGTAACCAAAATTCTTACGGTGATATGAACAGTGAAGTCGGGGCTGAGGAGGTCTCAGATGGAGATAAAAAACTTTATTGGGAATTGAAATAAAATCACTCTTACTGTGCTTTAGCAAAGAGATTGGCAGCATTGTGCCCCTGCTCTAGGGATCTGTGGAACTTTGAACCAAGAAAGATGACTTAGGATATGGGGTGGAAGAAATTTCTAAGCAGCAAAGCATTCAAGATGTCATCTGGCTGCTTTTAAGAGCATATTCTCATATGCATGAGCTAAGAGATGATCTGAAACTGGAACTTATATTAAAAGGGGGAGCAGAGCATAAAAGACTGGAAAAGTTTCAGCCTGACCATGTGATAGAAAAGAAAAACTCATTTTCTGGGGAGGAATTCAAGCCAGCTGCAGAAGTTTGCATAAGAGGAGTAAATTGCTAATTGTCAAGGCAATGGGAAAAAGGCCTTGGAGTCATTTCCTGGAACTCTGCAGCAGCCCCTCCCATCACAGGCCCAGAGGCCTAGAGGGAAGAATGCTATTGTGGACCAGGCCCAGGGCCATGCTGCTCTGTGTAGTCTTGGGACATGGTGCCTGCATCCTGGACTCTCCAGCTCCAGCCATGGCTAAGAGGGACCAAGCTACAGCTCAAGCCACTGCTTCAGAGCGTGAAAACTGTAATCCTTGATGGTTTCCACATGGCTTAAGCCTGTGGGTGAATGAAGGGCAAAAGTTGAAGTTTGGGAGCCTCCACCTAGATTTCAGAGGGTGTATGAAAATGTCTGGATGTCCAGGCAGAAGTCTGTTACATGGGTGAAGCCTTCATGGTGAACCTCTACTAGGGAAATGCAGAGGGGAACTGTGGGGTTGGAGCCCCTACACAGAGTCCTCACTTGGGCACTCCCTAGTGGAGCTGTGAGAATAGGGCCACCCTTTTCCAGACACTAGAATGGTAGATCCACTGAGAGCTTGCACTGTGTGTGCAGAAAAGATGCAGGCATTCAATGCCAACCCTTGAGAGCAGCCATGAGAGATGAGTCCTACACAGCCACAAGGGCAAAGATGTGCAAGGCCTTGGAGCCCAGCCCTTACATCAGTGTGCTCTGGATGTGAGACATGGAGTCAATGGAGTCAAAGGAGATGATTTTGGAACTTTAAGATTTAATGACTTCCCTGCTGGGTTTCAGACTTGCAAGGGGTCTGTAGCCCCTCTCTTTTGGCTGATTTCTCCATTTCGGAATGGGTGTATTTACCCAGTGCCTGTAGCCCCATTGTATCTTGGAAGTAACTAAGTTGTTTTTTATTTTACAGGCTCATAGGCAGAAGGGACTTGCTTTGTCTCAAATGAGACTCTGAACATGGACTTTTGAGTTAATACTGAAATAAGTTAAGACTTGGGGGACTGTTGAGAAGGGATAATTGTATTTGCAATGTGAGAAGGACATGAGATTTGGGAGGCACCAGGGATGCAATAATATGGTTTGTACTTCTGTCCTCTACCCCAATCTCATGTTAGATAGTAATCCCAATTTTGAAGCAGGGACCTGTTGGGAGGTGATTGGATTATGGAGGCAGATTTCTCCCTTGCTTTTCTCATGCTAGTGAGTGAGTTCTCATGAGATCTGTTGTTTAAAAGTGTGTAGCACCTCCCACTTCACTTTCACTTTTTCCTGCTCCAGCCACGTAAGACGTGTCTGCTTCCCCTTCACCTTCCACTATGATTGACAGTTTATCGAGACCTCCCAAGCCATGCCTCCTGTACGGCATGCAGAATTATGAGCCAATTAAACCTCTTTTCTTTATAAATTACCCAGTTTTAGGTATTTCTTTATATCAGTGAGAGAAAGAACAAATACAAGATATATGGTTTGCAAATATCTTCTTTCATTCCATAGGTTGTCTATTTAGTCTGTTGCCTGCTTGCTTTGCTGTGCAGAAATTTTTTAGTCTGGCATAATTCCACTTACTAATTTCTGCTTTTGTTGCCTGAGCTTTTGGTGTGATATCCCTCCCCACAAAAAACTGTCAAAACAAAAATCAAGGATTTTTTTTCTGTTTATTTTATTTTATTTTTCCCAAGAGTTTTAAGGTTTCAGGTCTTACACTGAGGTCTTTAATCTATTTTGAATTACTTTTCATATATGGTGTAAGATAGTGGTTTCATTTTATTCTTTTGCTTATGAATTTCCAGTATTCCCAACTATTCAAAAAGATCCTATTCAAAAAGACTATTCTTTATTCATTGTATATTCTTGACAGGCTTTAGAAGATCAGTTGATATATTTAGGTTATTTTTTAATCCAATCTGACAATCTCTGTTTTTAGACCATTTATACTTTATATTATTGATACTTTTGGAATTAGTCATGCCATGTTATTATTTGTTTTCTCTTTCTTTCTCTGATTTTATTCCTTATTTTTCCCTTTCTTTTATGTAGGAGGTTATTTCAACATTCTAGCAAATTATTTTGAATTTTTCACTTTGATTTTGACAAAATCTCTTTCTCTAATTGTTTTAGTGGTTGCTGAAAAGATTGCAAAAGACATAGTTCTCTTTTCAAAGGCTATATGAAAATGATACTTTGCCACTTCAATTTTAATGTGAAAATCTTACAACCACATAGGTTCCTTCGTTCTGTCTCATTAACACAATGGTTTTCTTATATGTCTACAAATATTGAAAAGACAATGTGACAGTGTACTTTTTACTTTCAATCACTACATAAAATTTAAAACAATCAAATGTGAGAAGCAAGTATGTTATATTTACTCAGATATTTATTATTTCTTTTGTTCTTTCTGATTTCCATGTTTCATGTTTTCTCTGGTATTATTTCCTTTTATTTGAAGTTCCTGTAGCATTTTTTAAAACAAGTTTTTTGTTTGTTTGTTTGCTTGTTTTTTGGCTATGAGCTTTGTTAGTTTTCTTCCTCTGAAAATGTTTCAATGTACTCTATTCTTGAATATTTTCACTAAATACTATTTTGGGTTTGACAGCTATTTTGTTTAAACACTTTAAAAATGTATGCTAACTTTTCTGGGCTTTAGTGTTTCTGATGAAAATCCTACAGTTATTTGAATTATTTTTCTATAAGCAGTGTGTTTTTCTTCTCTTGCTACTTTTAAGGGTTTTTTTTTTTCCATGTCTTTAGTTTTCAGTGATTTGATTTTAATATATCTAGGCATGGGTTTTCTTACATTCATTCTATTTAGGGTTTACTCATATTCTTGCATCTGTAGGTTTATGTATTTTTCTGAACTAGGAAAGTTTTGTGTCATTATTCAAATATTATTTTTCCTCTGCTACAGTTATACTCTTTTTCTGGGACTGCTATCACACTACTCTAACGCTAAATATCTAACACTGATGTTAGATTTTTTTGGTGTTGTTTCCCAGGTCTTTGAGGTCTTGTTTTCATATTTTTTCATCGTTTTCTTCTTCTCATTTATAGTTGTTGATTTCTACTGCTTTATCTGCAAGTTTACTAATTATTTTCTCTGTCATTTTCATTTTGCCATTGATTCAGTTTTGTGATTATTTTCATTTTAATTGTTGTGTATTTTAGCTCTATAATTTCCATTTGGTGTTTCGTTATGGCTCTATTTGCTAATACTTTCTGTTTTTTCTTATTTGTTCCAAGAGTATTCACAATTACTCATTCAAGGAATTTTATAGTACCTACTTTTCGGTCTTTTTCTGATAATTTCAACATATATGTAATCTTGTCATTGGACTCAGTTGATATTTCCATGTGACTTGTCAGCTTCAACATTTTTTATAACCTGAGTAATTTTCTATTGTTTCCTGTATATTTTGAATATTGCATTATGAGAAGGTAGGCATTGCTTAGATATTATGGAGAATGTTGATATTTTTGTTGTAGAGAGCTGCTGACCTTGTTAAGCTTAAGCTAAAAATTCCACCCAACATTATTTCAGCTGATGATCTAATATCACTACAGTTTTCAAAGCCTTTCATTGTTACTCACCTGTCCCATTTTTGAGTCACCTGGTGGTGAGTCTGGGACCTAGGTGGACATATGCTCTTTAGTTCCATTCTCAAAATCTTTGATATGCTAATTTGTATCAGATTCACAGGTCTGCAGTTTGGAGGTGAGTGCTGGAGTTTCTGATTAACTTTATGAAATCACTTTCCCTCTGCTATCTCCCAAGTTCTTTGTTTCCCAAGGGTTCCTTTATTTGGTGTGCCAGGAGACACTGCTCATTTCTGTGACCACACTGTACCGATAGACATGTGGCAGAGACAGAGACCTACAGCAAGAGTAGGAGATAGAGAAACAAAATAAAGAAAAGCAGTAGGGTTTTTCCCTGGTCTTATAGAAACCTAGGCTTACTGAATGGAGAGGAAGTTTTCCACTCCTTAGAATGTTGCCTTCTACAGGCCCCTGTTGTCATTGTGGGATTGTTTGGTAGCTATGTGCAGAAGAATGGGAAGAAATGAGAAACCAAATAAGACTCTTTTCTTACTCTCTCTCAGTTATAGGAGTTCCCTTTACTTCTCAGAATATTTCTGTTTTTCTCTGTCTGCCCAATATTGCTTATTTCTTTCTGGATTCTTAGTTGGGTTAAATTCCAAAAGGAAGATACCAAAGGAAGAAACATATAGTAAACTTATTACAGATTTGTTGGTGTGTTGAATTCTGATGTTCTTCTCTAAGCTGCCTGTTGATAGTTTATTTTTAGTATTCTCAAATAGTTGGGCTATGAATTCTATATGAGCTTTAGAGTTGTATTATTTGGGAGTAAAAGGAAAGCATTTGCTTACTCCACCTTCCCTGGAACTGCAACCCTTGATGACATTGTGAAAATTTGGTATAAAAAATTTTCCAAGATTCAAATTCCAGATGTAATATTAAATGCTTATTTATCTATTACTGATAAAAATTATTTCTCGTAATATCTAGTGATGATCCTTCCATTCCTCATTTTTGAGTCACTCATATTCTGGCTGTGAGCAAGCTCATATTTGTTTTAGTTTCTTACCATACAGGAGCTTTCATCATTACCACCTCATTTTTTCACCCAAGAAAAGATATTTCTAAGGTTGCACTGGAACAAGGCCTGTGTAAAAACTCTGTAATCATAAACCTCTCCCCACTACATGTGCTAGTTGAAGCCATTTTAGCTAAGCCTATACAGATGTAGTAAGCCAAGAGCAGGAAAAAATAACCGATTTATGTCCTATGTGTGTATGCTTATTAGTGATAAAATACTGAGCACAGTTTATATCAAAACTTAATTGCATGTCACTAAGCATTTTCATGAGACTTTAAGCCTATCAATCTGAAAAATAAGGAGTGTTTATTTGAAGTGGTAAGAATCACACAAATTGATGTTTGAATGGAGAGAAGCAAGAAGTTCAATTTGCCTTCTTAGAAAACTGAATGGAAAAATTACTTAGAGTTATAATTATGGAATACCTTGAATGTTAGGATCTGGATTGGAAAGCCTTTGAGGTTGTCATAAGTGTCAGCTTAATTTTTTAATATATGTGAGTAATTAAAACTAGTCATGATGGGCTGGGCGCAGTGGCTCACGCCTGTAATCCCAGCACTTTAGGAGGCCGAGGCAGGCGGATGACGAGGTCAGGAAATCAAGGCCATCCTGGCTAACACGGTGAAACCCCATCTCTACTAAAAATACAAAAACAAAATTAGCCAGGCGTAGTGGCGGGTACCTGTAGTCCCAGCTACTCGGGAGGCTGAGGCGGGAGAAGGGCATGAACCCAGGAAGCAGAGCTTGCAATGACCTGAGATTGTGCCATTGCACTCCGGCCTGGGTGACACAGCGAGACCCCGTCTCAAAAAAAAAAAAAAAAAAAAAAAAAAAACTGGTTACAATGAAAAACAAAAGAACATAGCAAATCTCATGACTAAAGAATGTAATGAAATACTAAGCAACTTTATGATATGTTGGTAGAGCATAAAATTATTCATCCAAATTTCATTATGCATGTTCAAAAGAATTTAAAAAGAATGATTTTACAACGATAACCACTTCAGAAATCAATGTTTTAATTTTATTTATCAAATACTGGTTTTTCATGTGTTTCCAGTGGATACTAAGAAGTGAGTTACCCAAAGGAAAATAGTAGCTAACACTTAGCTTGTTTATCGTAAGTCGGGCACACTTCATGTATACGAATAAATCGATACTCACAGCAAACTTAAAGATAGACACAATTATCTCACGTCATAAATGATGAAAACTGAGGTACAGGGATACGAAAGGGCTTGTCTAGTAACTAAGCACCCTAAAAGGAACAGATTTTGTAAAAGGTTTTAGCATAATATGCATTTATGTACTCCCAAATTAAAGATCAGTTTGAAAAATCCACTGGAGAATAAAATATAAGCAATTCTTCAAGCAATTGTAGTAAACACTTAGAAGATCATAAATACATTTACAGAAACAAAGGCCCTTTATATCTGTGATAAGCACATACACACACACGCACAAAAAAAAAAAAACACATGCACACTAATCTTTAAGCAAGAAAAAAATATTGATTGAAATGAGGGAATTGATGAAAATTCCATGAGAAAATGTATAATCATCTGAATAGAAATTCAAAGACAAACTGAAAATTAAAATACAAGCCAATCCATATATCTACTCTGATTATCAGGAAAAAAAAGAAAATAAGAAACTATATTTAACTGTTACATAATCTGTTATGCAATCTGGTGTGCTACTATTCAAAAATGTCTAGAAGCACTAGCTGAATTACCTTATTGATAATAGCGATTCTGTTAATTGTCGTCAAATGTCCACCTAGGTAACATTCCCTTCTGAAAATATGATCTCTTAATTTTCAGGTAAATAAACCAATTTAGACTGTGTGGTCATGAAATATAATCTTCCATTTTAAAGATTCTAAGTAAAAGGGATTCTAGCCAATGTCAATATTACCTTCAAGTGCTCTTTGACTTCTTTGATTTCTGCTATTATAATTAGATTTTCTAGGTGTTTCATTACATTGTGTTATTTATAGACATCTCTATTAAACATACAGTTCCTCACAGGGACAAAGAAACACTCAACTTCTGCACTGTCAGTCTTAAATGTGTTCTGCATTAACTTATTTATCCTCTGCTGCTGACAAATAGCTACAAATTTAGCTTTTGTAATATTCTTCAGTTTTTTAAATAAAAAATGATTTCTATGTTCTATTTGCATTTTAATATAAGGCTAGCTAAAGTTTTCCAGTCTGGGCTCTCAGAAAAAAGTGGAAAAAGTTAGGGTTGTTTGTTTTTTTCTTGTAAATTTGTTTAAGTTCCTTGTAGATGCTGGATATTAGCCCTTTGTCAGACGGATAGATTGCAAAAATTTTCTCCTATTCTGTAAGTTGCCTGTTCACTCTGATGATAGTTTCTTTTGCCTGATTGCCCTGGCCAGAACTTCCAATACTATGTGGAATAGGAGTGGTGATAGAGGACATCCTTGTCTTGTGCCGGTTTTCAAAGGGAATGCTTCCAGCTTTTGCCCATTCAATATGATATTGACTATGGATTTGTTATAAATAGCTCTTATTATTTTGAGATACGTTCCATCAGTACCTTGTTTATTGAGAGTTTTTAGCAAGAAAGAGTGTTGACTTTTATCAAAGGCCTTTTCTGCATTTATTGGGATAATCGTGGGGCTTTTCTCATTGCTTCTGTTTATGTGATGGATTATGTTTATTGATTTGCATATGTTGAACTAGCCTTGCATCCCAGGGACGAAACCGACTTGATTGTGATGGATAAGCTTTTTGATATGCTGCTGGATTTGGTTTGCCAGTATTTTATTGGGGATTTTCACATCAGTGTTCATCAGGGTTATTGGCCTGAAATTTTTTGTGTGTTGTGCCTCTGCCAGGTTTTGGTATCAGGATGATGCTGGCCTCAAAAAATGAGTTCGGGAGCAATTCCTCTTTTTCTATTGTTTGGAATAGTTTCAGAAGGAATGGTACCAGCTCTTCTATGTACCTCTGGTAGAATTTGGCTGTGAATCCATCTGGTCTTGGGCTGTTTTTGATTGGTAGGCTATTAACAACTGTCTCAATTTCAAAACTTATTATTGGTCTATTCAGGGATTTGACTTTTCCCTGATTAATCTTGTGAGGGTGTATGTGTCCAGGAATTTATCCATTTCTTCTAGATTTTCTAGTTTATTTGCATAGAGGTGTCTATAGTATTCTCTGATGGTTGGTTGTATATCTGTGGGATTAGTGGTGATATCCTCTTTATCATTTTTTATTGTGTCTATTTGATTCTTCTCTATTTCCTTCTTTATCATTCTATCTAGAGGTCTATCTGTTTTGTTATTTTTTTCAAAAAAGCCAGCTTCTGGATTCATTTATTTTTTGAAGGGTTTTTCCTGTCTCTGTCTTCTTCAGTTCTGCTCTGATCTTAGTTATTTTTTGTCTTCTGCTAGCTTTTGAATTTCTTTGCTCTTGCTTCTCTAGTTCTTTAAATAGTGATGTTAGGGCGTCAGTTTTAGATCTTTCCAGCTTTCTGTTGTGGGCATTTAGTGCTATAAATTTTCCTCTTAACACTACTTTAGCTGTGTCCCAGAGATTCTAGTGCATTGTCTCTTTGTTCTCATTGGTTTCAAAGAACTTTACTTCTGCCTTAATTTCACTATTTACGCAATAGTCATTCAGGAGCAGGTTGTTCAGTTTTCATGTAGTTGTGCAGTTTTGAGTGAGTTTCTTAATCCTGAGTTCTAATTTGATTGCATTGTGGTCCGGGAGACTGTTTGTTATGATTTCTATTCTTTTGAATTTGCTGAAGGGTGTTTTACTTCCAATAATGGGGTTGATTTTAGAATAAGTGTGATGTGGTACTGAGAAGAATATATTCTGTATATTCTGTTGATTTGGGTTGGAGAGTTCTGTAGATGCCTATTAGGTCTACTTGGTCCAGAGCTGAGTTCAAGTCCTGAAAATCCTTGTTAATTTTCTGTCTCACTGATCTTTCTAATACTGACCGGTGGGTGTTAAAGTTTCCTACTATTATTGTGTGGGAGTCTAAGTCTCTTTGTGCATCTCTAAGAACTTGCTTTATAAATCTGGGTGCTCCTGTAATGGGTGCATGGTGACAAAATCCCTCAGCACTTGCTTGTCTATAAACGATTTTATTTCTCTTTCACTTATGAAGCTTAGTTTGGCTGGATATGAAATTCTGGGTTGAAAATTCTTTTCTTTAAGTATGTTGAGTATTGGCCCCCACTCTCTTCTGAATTGTTTCTGCAGAGAGATCCACTGTTAGTCTGCTGGGCTTCTCTTTGTAGGTAACCTGACCTTTTTCTCTGCAGCTCTTAACATTTTTTCCTTCATTTCAGTTTGGAGAATCTGACAATTATGTGTCTTGGAGTTGCTTTTCTCGAGGAGTACCTTAGTGGTTCTCTCTGTATTTCCTGAATTGGAATGTTGGCCTGCCTTGCTAGGTTGGGGCAGTTCTCCTGAGTAATATCCTGAAGTGTGTTTTCCAACTTGGTTCCATTCTCCCCACCACTTTCAGATATGCCAATCAATTGTAGGTTTGGTCTTTTCACGTAGTACCATATTTCTTGATGGCTTTGTTCAATACTTTTCATTCTTCTTTCTCTAATTTTGTCTTCATGCCTTATTTCAGTAAGTTGATCTTCAATCTCTGATATCCTTTCTTCCATTTGATCTACTTAGCTATTGGTATTTGTGCATGTTTCACGAAGTTCTCGTACTGTGTTTTTCAGCTCCATCAGGTCATTTATATTCTTCTCTAAACTGTTTATTCTGGTTAGCAGTTCCTGTAACCTTTTATCAAGGGCTTTAGCTTCCTTGCATTGAGTTAAAACATGCTCCTTTAGCTCGGAGGAATTTGTTATTACCCATCTTCTGAAGCCTACTTCTGTCAATTCATCAAGTTCATTCTCCATGCAGTTTTGTGCCCTTGCTGGAGAGGAGGTGCAATCATTTGGAGGAGAAGAGACATTACGGTTTTTGGAATTTTCAGCATTTTCTTTTTGCTGTTTTTTTTCTCATCTTCATGGATTTATCTACCTTTGATCCTTGAGGCTGATGACCTTTGGATGGGGTTTTTGTGTAGGGGTCCGTTTTGTTGCTGTTGTTGTTATTGCTTTCTCTTTGTTTTTCTTCGAACAGTCAGGCCCACTTCTGCAGGTCTGTTGTAGTTTGCTGGAAATCCACTTCAGACTGGGTATCGCCAGC
Source organism: Homo sapiens (assembly GCF_000001405.40). Lineage (NCBI taxonomy): Eukaryota > Metazoa > Chordata > Mammalia > Primates > Hominidae > Homo > Homo sapiens. The sequence goes on along the minus strand of NW_009646204.1, from coordinate 151,686 downwards.
GGAGGCTGCAGAAGAACAAATATTGCTACCTACTACTTCCTCTGGAAGGTTCGTTCCAGAGGGGCACCAACCTGATGTCAGCTGGAGCTCTCCTGCATTAGGTGTCGTCGACCCCTGCTGGGAAGTGTCTCCCAGTCAGGAGGCACTTGAGGAGGCAGTCTGTCTCTTGGCAGAGCTTGGGCACTGTGCTGAGAGGATTCTCCTTATCAGGATCCGCTTCTCTCTCCAGAGCCGGCAAACAGGAACGTTTAAGTCCGCTGAAGCTGCGCCCACAGCCTCCCCTTCCCCCAGGTGCTCTGTCACAGGGAGATGGGAGTTTCATCTATTAGCCCCTGACTGGGGCTGCTGCCTTTTTTCAGAGATGCCCTGTCCAGTGAGGAGGAATCTAGAGAGGCAGTCTGGCCACAGCCGCTTTGCCGCACTGTGGTAAGTTCTACCCAGTCCAGACTTCCCGGCCTCTTTAACACTGTCATGGGAAAACCGCCTACTCAAGCCTCAGTAATGGTGGACGCCCTTCTCCCCACCAAGCTCGATTGTCCCAGGTAGACTTCAAACGGCTGTGCTGGCAGTGAGAATTTCAAGCCAGTGATCCTTAGCTTGCTGGGCTCTATGGGAGTGGGACCCGCTGAGTGAGACCACTTGGCTCTCTGGCTTCAGCCCCCTTTTGAGGGGAGTGAACTGTTCTGTCTTGCTGGAGTTCCAGGCACCACTGGGTATGAAAACAAACAAACAAAAAAACTCCTGCAGCTAGCTTGGTGTCTGCCCAGACAGCCACCCAGTTTTGTGCTTGAAACCCAGAGTCTGGTGGTGTCAGCACATAATGGAATCTCCTGTTGTGAGGATGGCGAAAACCGTGGGAAAAGTATAGTATCTGGCCTGGATAGCACAGTCCCTCATGGCTTCCCTTGGCTTAGGGAGGAGATCCCCAGCTCCTTGCACTTCCTGGGTGATTCTACACCCTACCCTGCTTCTGCTTGCCCTCCGCGGGCTGTAATCACTGCCTAACCAGTCCCAGTGAGATGAACTGCGTATCTCAGTTGGAAATATAGAAATCCCCCAACTTCTGCATTGGTCTCGCTGGGAGCTGCAGACCAGAGCTCTTCCTATTTGGCCATCTTGCCAGATCTCCATATTTTTGTATATATACACATATATATTCTGAAAGGTCACGGGCTATACATAAAATGAAGTATACTTATATATATGTGCAAACATACATACATACAAATTATACCTGTGTACATGTATAAAGTATGTATATATGCATAAGCATATTTATATGTGCTGCAATTTAATTTTTTTCCTAGACAAAATGGGATCTGGATTGATTATTTGATTCAAATAATTTATTGGTCTAGTCTTTTGTCAATACTGAATTTAGGTAAGTGGATTTATAATTTATTTAATAATTAATAAGTCTATTCTTACATTCACTATTCGTTTTCTGTTATTGTCATCGTTTTGAATCTTCTCTGTCATCTGTCCTATTGTATAAAGACTTAAAATTAGAGATATTCCAGTTAGAACGCCAAATAAATTGGTAATCATATTTTCATTATATATATGCATCTCAGTACAATTAGCATTTTGTGATATTAAGTATTTCTGCCCGAAAACATGGTATGCCTTTCAATTTTTTCCTTTTTATTTACATCCTTTATTAAGAAGTTTTACTTTTGAAATATGGCTCTTGCACTGTTATTCTTTATTTATTTCTGAGTAATTCAGTTTTATTTTAAAAACTTTGTAGATAAACATTTCTACATTCCTAATTTTGTTATTGCTAATATTGAAAAATCATTGGCTTTAAATTTTTTTTTATACATAGCAAGGTTGACAAATTTCACTGTTAAGTAAATTCAAATCTCAAGTAAAACTAGAGCTTGGTTTTTTGAGATAAATTATTTGAAGAAGAAAAGTGTTTCTATACTAATATCTGCAACTTTTTTTTATTTTATGTTTTTACCTGATTTGCTAGAGCTTCAAAAACAATGTTCAGTAATAATAGTGACAGTAGGTAACCTTATCTTGTTCTAAATTTTAATAGATATAGCTTTAAAAATATTTTCCCATTGAAATAAAATTTGCTTTGTTTTAATGTATATGGATTTTAGGGGTTATGGATGCTGAATTTGATGTAATTTTTTTAGACATTCATTATTTTAAATATAAAAAAATTTCTTGATAAATTTTGGGGGAGAACTTTACCTTTCTTTTTCATGGTGTGACGTCATTGTTAAGAGACAATGTTATTTAAAGGTGAAATATAACTAAAATAAATACTTTGGATGGATGACTTTCAAAACAAGCTGTCGCCTTTCCCTATTTTCAGATAATTCAGTGATTCTAATTTTCTAGTTCTTGTTTACTTAGATTTGATTACTTACACCTTGATAATCTTTTCTAGCATTGTAATTCCCTTTTTCTTTTTAAAATAACATTGCACTTGATGTTCTTTTATAATTTTTTTAAGTTCTTCTCATAGGTAGTTATTATTTATTCATTTTCTATTTTGAAAAAAAATTCTTTTCTGTAAAAAAAAGGTTAATTGTCTTATCTTTTTAAATTTTTGTTTCATTGATTTTAGCTTTAAAAATTTTTAATTCCCATTTTCTACTTTTTTTGCTTATGTTTTTGTTATTTCAATAGTTTTTTAAAACATAAGAGGTTTACGGCCGGGCATGGTGGCTCACGCCTCCAATCCCAGCACTTTGGGAGGCCGAGGCGGGTGGATCACGAGCTCAGGAGATCGAGACCATCCTGGCTAACATGGTGAAACCCCATCTCTACTAAAAATACAAAAAAATTAGCTGGGCGTAGTGGCGGCCTGTAGTCCCAGCTACTCGGGAGGCTGAGGCAGGAGAATGGCGTGAACCTGGGAGGCGGAGCTTGCAGTGAGACTAGATCGCGCCACTGCACTCCAGCCTGGGCAACAGTGTGAGACTCCGTCTCTAAAAAAAAAAAAGAGGTTTACTTTAAGCTTTTAGTTATTTAATAATGTACGCATTTAAAACTTTTATGCAGGGTTTATTTAGAGGAATAAACTTGAACCTTACAAAACACCAATAACTACGAAGATCCTTTAAAAAGTAATCCTTATTTTGAAAGACAATTTTTTTAAGAGTTGCGGTCTCACTATGTTGCCCAGGCTGGTCTTGAACTCCTGGGCTCAAGCAATTCTTTCACCTCAGCTTCCCAAAGTGCTGGGATTACAGGCGTAAGCCACCATGCCCAGCCTTGAAAGACAATTTTATCTGTCAAGAAGAGAGTCCTATAATTTAGCATATATCAGGATTATAAAATATTTGTTAATCACTGTGCATGAATATTTGCCCAGGTACCAAGAATAAAATTAAGGGTACAATCATTTTACCACAGATAAAAGTAGGTTTGTGTTTTAATGAGGGCTAAAATACCAAAACTCAAATTTTAGAAAATATCTATTACCCAGTGCTTGGGAAAATCTTTTCCCGTAAGACTGTAAACACCAATTTATAATTTCGTAAAGCTGGATATTTGACTACATAAATATCTTATTTTTATAGTTATTTAATTTTTCCAAATATATCATAAACAAACTTGAAAAATAACAGAAAAAATTGTGAAATACTAGTGATAGATTGAAAATATTTATATCACATAGAAGTACATTAAAATGATTTAACGAGAAAAAATAACAATAGAAATTAGACAAAGTTTATTACTTCAGCAAGAAGAATATGTGTATGGCTACTAAAACTCTTAAACGTGTTCAAACTTGAGTCTGGCTGATGATGAAGATGGTGGATATATAGAGGCCAAGACCTATTATCTCAATTTGAGCTCTGCAGGGTCATCTAAACTTCAAAGTTCACGGGATGAGCAACTAGTACTTCATTGCAACAACACTGCAATTGATCTTTATTTGACCCATTCCTTTTTTTTCCCCGCACTCCTCTAAAGATGTTGTTCCTCTGAGTACTTCCCAATAAATCAATTTATAAGAGGCCATATCTCTGTATCTAGAGTACCCCAACCTCTGATAACATCTAATAAGAGATGTGTGTTATAACGGGTTTAACTAATTATTAAATGTTTTTAGGTAACAGTTCATGGAAACAAACAAAAAAGATTGAGGAGGGTAGAGAAACACTGTTAGGTAATATAAGAAAGGACTCAATGCTTAGAAGACCACGTGTAAAGTGGTAACGACGTAAAAAGGAAGAATGAAAAGTAGTGGTAACTGGTTGTCTAGAATCTCTGTGTCAGAGGTGAATGAATTTTGAGGACACAGCAAAATGGCTGGCAAATGTAGACTTAAATAAGAGCATTAGACATAAAAGGACAAAGAACTGAGAAACAAATCCATAGAATTTTCCTATCTTCTATCGATATTAGAAGATATTGGAAGAAGAGTCAAATAATGACCCAAATACGAAAACATTCAATGGATAATAAATTGTCACGTAGAGTTCAGAAGATAACACCTATAAAAAGAGGTGATTGACACAGCCATGTTACGTTAACTTTAAAAGGAGCACAGTTTTGTATTTGAGTGGCCAAGTAATAGTCCAAAATTAACACGGGGAGGGAAGAGTGTGCCAACCTCCAGTCGCAAACCATGTGTTATAGAATATGGTGAATGAGAGATTAAATAGCTTTCACTAGATGTGACATCAATGGGACTGCAGTCTAAAGGAAGACCTAGTTTCCAGTTGTAGTGGAAATGTAAATAGGACATTTAAGGAAGAAGCTGAGGTGGCTGGAAATACTCATTTAAGATGAATATTTCTGAAGGTATCATGAAAAAAATGTTGTGATTTAGAGTTAGCTGTCCAAAGACCATTTCTGCTATGTTCAAATGATCTTGTCCCTTTCAAATCCCTACATTAGAAGCTTAATTCCCAGTGCAACAGAGTTGGGCGGTGGGCCTAATTGGAGATGTTTAGATTATGAGCGCTCTACCCTCATGAATGCATTCGTGCTGCTATAAAAAAGGATTGCGGGAGGGGCTTCTCTCTCTTCTGTTACTCTGCCACATGAGGAACAGCATTTCTCCCCTCTGCAGGGTGGAGCAATCATGGTATAATCTTGGAAAAGGAAACTGGGACCTTAGCAGACATCAAACCTGCCAGTACCATGACCTGCAGTTCTCAGCCTCCAGAACTGTGAGAAATAAATTTCTGTTATCAATTAGCAAATATGTGTAATTCTGCTATAGTAACATAAGGTGACTAAGGACAAATTGGACAGTTTTCATTCACTGGGCCTCAATGGGAGTGCAATCTTAAGGGAAGAGCTAGTTTCCAGCAGCAGTAAGGATGTCAGTGAGACATTTAGTGAAGAAGCAGAAGTGGTAGGAAAACCTATTTAGTATAAGTCTTTGGACAAATCTAAATTACAGTTTGATCATTGTTTCCTCAAAAATACTTATACTGTCATGTACTACCCCCACCTTGCCTTTGCCAATAAGACAAAGAAAGCTCTTGGCATTTAGGTAGAGAGCACCCTTCCTACTCTAATCTATCCATTGGTGCTTAGTATGCAATAAGGAAGCAAAAGGGTAGCATTTAAAACCTCACCTCAGTATACTTGAATTGTCTAAGATGCCTGGAAGAACGGCGAGACGGTGTTTCTGCTAGCAAGTCTTGACAATGGCAGCATGAGCAATGAGTTTCTACCTCATCGGGTTGCCCCCAAGAGGAAGTGCTGTATTTCACTTTTGTGACACTAACTGGGTTTTCCTGTGATTCTAAGTACTTATCTCTAAGTCTGCCTCACCAACCCAACATGCTTAAAATTCAAATCTATATTTTACAAAATTAGGCCTATGAGCTTGCACTAATTCAAGCATTGTACTACTGACCATCTTAAAGTAATTTCACTGCTAACTACGGGAGGAGATACACACATTTAGATTCTTCTAGAATTTTTTCAGTTACGAGAAATGGTAGTAAGAAATTTGTAAGTTTGGTCAGGGAAAGGAATCTCAAAGCATTACACAAATAACAATGTAGGAAAAGATAGAAGGGTGGATGATCTTTTATATTGGATGATGAAGAATGATAATGAGGATATGAGGCATGGTGAGTATACCCAGACAAGATTAGAGAAATAACGAACCCCTGCAATCTCCTTGTATGTAAGAGTTCCTTCATCTATGGATGCTGAGGACATTGTACGTACATGTCTGATTCGTGGCCCAGCTCTGAGAGGTGACTGACTCTGACTCTGAAATAAGGCTGAATTAGGATAGTGGAAAGAGAAAGGAGATGTCAAAGACATGAAGCCCTGAGGAAGTACATCAAGCACAGCGACCACAAGCACTCATGGTGCAAGTTCCTAGCATCATTATTTAGAACATGCCCTTACACCTTTGAAATATCTCAGTTGTTATAATTAACTATCAGTCTCCCTCATTAACTGCCAACATATTTGGTAAGAAAGTTTCTATTTCCCATAAATGTAAAAAAATTAAATATTTTAGACACTGTTCTCATAAGTAATTATAACTGTATTAAATACCATGCAGACCCTGACCTTTATTGTTCTTTTCTAATAGAGCAACAGATTTTTACTCTGAAACATTAACCTCCAAAGTTTTATGTACATAAATTGGTCTGCTGAAAGGTTTTGAGATTTGGACTTTGTTTTCCCAAATTGTTCAATTGGAAAAAAAATTGAAAAATTTGGAAAATTCAATTGACTTGTTCAAACAGTGAGGGTATATGTGAAAGTGTGATACTATCTTAAATCTGTGAACTTTATGTTCAGAAAGGGTTAAAAGTTAATGATCACTACACACGTTACTCGTTTTATGACTTTACCAAGTTTCCACTCTGAATCTTAGCTGTCACTTTTGCTTCTTTATTAAACTCTGCCTCAAATTACGCACTTTGAGTATGCCATCTATTTCTTTCTGGCAAACTGACTTTTTGCCTGTATGACCATAATAATTTTTTAAAACCTGCAAAATTTAAAACTTGTCACTCTTATTCCTAGAAAAATACTAAATATTGTTTTTCTGCCTGTTACACCTGTGAGTTAAATATAGGAAAAAATGTTGTAGAAATCATGAATTTGCATATTCTCACACATTAACATTGCACGTAATGATTCCTGAATCCAATGATGGAAAGTTATTTGGAGCATATATTCTTGGTGGCTTTCATTCGAGATTCAAAGTATGTTTGCTCCTTCCTGATTATGCTATGCACACTGTATAGATTATTTACCCTAAGGGTGAACTGAGAGCATTAAAAAAACCCATTTTGAAATTTTACTGAATTATTAAATGATAGTTGAATTATTGTGATAGCTGAACATGACTAAATTATTAACTAAAAACTAGAAGATGAAGAGCTACTTTATTGGCTCAGCTATCGACTGTGAGATCAAGTGATGTTTTAAATGTAAAGACTATAATTTAAAAAGGAAAGGGCTATTTCATGATATCTTTCAAACTCTAATGTTACTGCAGCCTTTTTTTCCCCTCTGTCTGTATCTATTCCTTTGGTTATTTCACACTTTAATGCTTTAAATACTATATCCACGCTCTTACGTACTTTTGTGTAATCCAGATCAATTTAGACAACTACTTGATCCTTATTTCCAACTGATTGACAAGTAAGCACCCAAGATTTAGAATATCACACTTAAACTCTTTTGTTACCTTCAAACATGTTTTTTCTTTTTTTTTAATTATACTTTATGTTTCAGGGTACATGTGCACATTGTGCAGGTTAGTTACATATGTATACATGTGCCATGCTGGTGCGCTGCACCCACTAACTCCTCATCTAGCATTAGGTATATCTCCTGATGCTATCCGCCCCCTCCCCCCACCCCACCACAGTCCCCAGAGTGTGATATTCCCCTTCCTGTGTCCATGTGATCTCATCGTTCAATTCCCACCTATGAATGAGAATATGTGGTGTTTGGTTTTTTGTTCTTGCGATAGTTTACTGAGAATGATGATTTCCAATTTCATCCATGACCCTACAAAGGACATGAACTCATCATTTTTTATGGCTGCATAGTATTCCATGGTGTATATGTGCCACATTTTCTTAATCCAGTCTATCATTGTTGGACATTTGGGTTGGTTCCAAGTCTTTGCTATTGTGACTAATGCCGCAATAAACATACGTGTGCATGTGTCTTTATAGCAGCATGATTTATAGTCCTTTGGGTATATACCCAGTAATGGGATGGCTGGGTCAAATGGTATTTCTAGTTCTAAATCCCTAAGGAATCGCCACACTGACTTCCACAATGGTTGAACTAGTTTACAGCCCCACCAACAGTGTAAAAGTGTTCCTATTTCTCCACATCCTCTCCAGCACCTGTTGTTTCCTGACTTTTTAATCATTGCCATTCTAACTGGTGTGAGATGGTATCTCATTGTGGTTTTGATTTGCATTTCTCTGATGGCCAGTGATGATGAGCATTTTTTCATGTGTTTTTTGGCTGCATAAATGTCTTCTTTTGAAAAGTGTCTGTTCATGTCCTTCACCAACTTTTTGATGGGGTTGTTTGTTTTTTTCTTGTAAATTTGTTTGAGTTCATTGTAGATTCTGGATATTAGCCCTTTGTCAGATGAGTAGGTTGTGAAAATTTTCTCCCATTTTGTAGGTTGCCTGTTCACTCTGATGGTAGTTTCTTTTGCTGTGCAGAAGCTCTTTAGTTTAATGAGATCCCATTTGTCAATTTTGGCTTTTGTTGCCATTGCTTTTGATGTTTTGGACATGAAGTCCTTGCCCATGCCTATGTCCTGAATGGTAATGCCTAGGTTTTCTTCTACGGTTTTTATGGTTTTAGGTCTAATGTTTAAGTCTTTAATCCACCTTGAATTGATTTTTGTATAAGGTGTAAGGAAGGGATCCAGTTTCAGCTTTCTACATATGGCTAGCCAGTTTTCCCAGCACCATTTATTAAATAGGGAATCCTTTCCCCATTGCTTGTTTTTCTCAGGTTTGTCAAAGATCAGATAGTTGTAGATAAGCGGCATTATTTCTGAGGGCTCTGTTCTGTTCCATTGATCTATATCTCTGTTTTGGTACCAGTACCATGCTGTTTTGGTTACTGTAGCCTTGTAGTATAGTTTGAAGTCAGGTAGTGTGATGCCTCCAGCTTTGTTCTTTTGGCTTAGGATTGCCTTGGCGATGTGGGCTCTTTTTTGGTTCTATATGAACTTTAAAGTAGTTTTTTCCAATTCTGTGAAGAAAGTCATTGGTAGCTTGATGGGGATGGCATTGAATCTGTAAATTACCTTGGGCAGTATGGCCATTTTCACTATATTGATTCTTCCTACCCATGAGCATGGAATGTTCTTCCATTTGTTTGTATCCTCTTTTATTTCATTGAGCAGTGGTTTGTAGTTCTCCTTGAAGAGGTCCTTCACATCCCTTGTAAGTTGGATTCCTAGGTATTTTATTCTCTTTGAAGCAATTGTGAATGGGAGTTCACTCATGATTTGGCTCTCTGTTTGTCTGTTGTTGCTGTATAAGAATGCTTGTGATTTTTGTACATTGATTTTGTATCCTGAGACTTTGCTGAAGTTGCTTATCAGCTTAAGGAGATTTTGGGCTGAGACAATGGGGTTTTCTAGATATACAATCATGTCGTCTGCAAACAAGGACAATTTGACTTCCTCTTTTCCTAATTGAATACCCTTTATTTCCTTCTCCTGCCTAATTGCCCTGGCCAGAACTTCCAACACTCTGTTGAATAGGAGTGGTGAGAGAGGGCATCCCTGTCTTGTGCCAGTTTTCAAAGGGAATGCTTCCAGTTTTTGCCCATTCAGTATGATATTGGCTGTGGGTTTGTCATAGATAGCTCTTATTATTTTGAAATACGTCCCATCAATACCTAATTTATTGAGAGTTTTTAGCATGAAGGGTTGTTGAATCTTGTCAAAGGCTTTTTCTGCATCTATTGAGATAATCATGTGGTTTTTGTCTTTGGCTCTGTTTATATGCTGGATTACATTTATTGATTTGCGTATATTGAACCAGCCTTGCATCCCAGGGATGAAGCCCACTTGATCATGGTGGATAAGCTTTTTGATGTGCTGCTGGATTCGGTTTGCCAGTATTTTATTGAGGATTTTTGCATCAAAGTTCATGAAGGATATTGGTCTAAAATTCTCTTTTTTCGTTGTGTCTCTGCCCGGCTTTGGTATCAGAATGATGCTGGCCTCATAAAATGAGTTAGGGAGGATTCCCTTTTTTTCTATGGATTGGAATAGTTTCAGAAGGAATGGTACCAGTTCCTCCTTGTACCTCTGTTAGAATTCGGCTGTGAATCCATCTGGTCCTGGACTCTTTTTGGTTGGTAAACTATTGATTATTGCCACAATTTCAGCTCCTGTTATTGGTCTATTCAGGAATTCAACTTCTTCCTGGTTTAGTCTTGGGAGAGTATATGTGTCCAGGAATTCATCCATTTCTTCTAGATTTTCTAGTTTATTTGTGTAGAGGTGTTAGTAGTATTCTCTGATGATAGTTTGTATTTCTGTGGGATCGGTGGTGATATCCCCTTTATCATTTTTTATTGTGTCTATTTGATTCTTCTCTCTTTTTTTCTTTACTAGTCTTGCTAGCGGTCTATCAATTTTGTTGTTCCTTTCAAAAAACCAGCTCCTGGATTCATTAAATTTTTGAAGGGTTTTTTGTGTCTCTATTTCCTTCAGTTCTGCTCTGATTTTAGTTATTTCTTGCCTTCTGCTAGCTTTTGAATGTGTTTGCTCTTGCTTTTCTAGTTCTTTTAATTGTGATGTTAGGGTGTCAATTTTGGATCTTTCCTGCTTTCTCTTGTGGGCATTTAGTGCTATAAATTTCCCTCTACACACTGCTTTGAATGTGTCCCAGAGATTCTGGTATGTTGTGTCTTTGTTCTCGTTGGTTTCAAAGAACATCTTTATTTCTGCCTTCATTTCGTTATGAATCCAGTAGTCATTCAGGAGCAGGTTGTTCAGCTTCCATGTAGTTGAGCAGTTTTGAGTGAGATTCTTAATCCTGAGTTCTAGTTTGATTGCACTGTGGTCTGAGAGATAGTTTGTTATAATTTCTGTTCTTTTACATTTGCTGAGGAGTGCTTTACTTCCAAGTATGTGGTCAATTTTGGAATAGGTGTGGTGTGGTGCTGAAAAAAATGTATATTCTGTTGATTTGGGGTGGAGACTTCTGTAGATGTCTATTAGGTCCGCTTGGTGCAGAGCTGAGTTCAATTCCTGGGTATCCTTGTTGACTTTCTGTCTCATTGATCTGTCTAATATTGACAGTGGGGTGTTAAAGTCTCCCATTATTAATGTGTGGGAGTCTAAGTCTCTTTGTAGGTCACTCAGGACTTGCTTTATGAATCTGGGTGCTCCTGTATTGGTTGCATATATATTTAGGATACTTAGCTCTTCTTGTTGAATTGATCCCTTTACCATTATGTAATGGCCTTCTTTGTCTCTTTTGATCTTTGTTGGTTTAAAGTCTGTTTTATCAGAGACTAGGATTGCAACCCATGCCTCTTTTTGTTTTCCATTTGCTTGGTAGGTCTTCCTCCATCCTTTTATTTTGAGGCTATGTGTGTCTCTGCACGTGAGATGGGTTTCCTGAATTCAGGATACTGATGGGTCTTGACTCTTTATCCAATTTGCCAGTCTGTGTCTTTTAATTGGAGCATTTAGTCCATTTACATTTAAAGTTAATATTGTTATGTGTGATTTGATCCTGTCATTATGATGTTAGCTGGTGATTTTGCTCGTTAGTTGATGCAGTTTCTTCCTAGTCTCGATGGTCTTTACATTTTGGCATGATTTTGCAGCAGCTGGTACCGGTTGTTCCTTTCCATGTTTAGTGCTTCCTTCAGGAGCTCTTTTAGGGCAGGCCTGGTGGTGACAAAATCTCTCAGCATTTGCTTGTCTGTAAAGTATTTTATTTCTCCTTCACTTATGAAGCTTAGTTTGGCTGGATATGAAATTCTGGGTTGAAAATTCTTTTCTTTAAGAATGTTGAATATTGGCCCCCACTCTCTTCTGGCTTGTAGGGTTTCTGCTGAGAGATCTGCTGTTAGTCTGATGGGCTTCCCTTTGTGGGTAACCTAACCTTTCTCTCTGGCTGCCCTTAACATTTTTTCCTTCATTTCAACTTTGGTGAATCTGACAATTATGTGTCTTGGAGTTGCTCTTCTCGAGGAGTATCTTTGTGGCGTTCTCTGTATTTCCTGAATCTGAATGTTGGCCTGCCTTGCTAGATTGGGGAAGTTCTCCTGGATAATATCCTGCAGAGTGTTTTCCAACTTGGTTCCATTCTCCCCATCACTTTCAGGTACACCAATCAGACGTAGATTTGGTCTTTTCACATAGTCCCATATTTCTTGGAGGCTTTGCTCATTTCTTTTTATTCTTTTTTCTCTAAACTTCCCTTCTCGCTTCATTTCATTCATTTCATCTTCCATTGCTGATACCCTTTCTTCCAGTTGATCGCATCGGCTCCTGAGGCTTCTGCATTCTTCACGTAGTTCTCGAGCCTTAGTTTTCAGCTCCTTCAGCTCCTTTAAGCACTTCTCTGTATTGGTTATTCTAGTTATACATTCTTCTAAATGTTTTTCAAAGTTTTCAACTTCTTTGCCTTTGGTTTGTATGTCCTCCCGTAGCTCAGAGGAATTTGATTATCTGAAGCCTTCTTCTCTCAGCTCGTCAAAGTCATTCTCCATCCAGCTTTGTTCCGTTGCTGGTGAGGAACTGCGTTCCTTTGGAGGAGGAGAGGCGCTCTGCTTTTTAGAGTTTCCAGTTTTTCTGTTCTGTTTTTTCCCCATCTTTGTGGTTTTATCTACTTTTGGTCTTTGATGATGGTGATGTACAGATGGGTTTTTGGTGTGGATGTCCTTTCTGTTTGTTAGTTTTCCTTCTAACAGACAGGACCCTCAGCTGCAGGTCTGTTGGAATACCCTGCCGTGTGAGGTGTCAGTGTGCCCCTGCTGGGGGGTGCCTCCCAGTTAGGCTGCTCGGGGGTCAGGGGTCAGGGACCCACTTGAGGAGGCAGTCTGCCCGTTCTCAGATCTCCAGCTGCGTGCTGGGAGAACCACTGCTCTCTTCAAAGCTGTCAGACAGGGACATTTAAGTCTGCAGAGGTTACTGCTGTCTTTTTGTTTGTCTGTGCCCTGACCCCAGAGGTGGAGCCTACAGAGGCAGGCAGGCCTCCTTGAGCTGTGGTGGGCTCCACCCAGTTCGAGCTTCCCGGCTGCTTTGTTTACCTAAGGAAGCCTGGGCAATGGCGGCCGCCCCTTCCCCAGCCTCCCTGCCGCCTTGCAGTTTGATCTCAGACTGCGGTGCTAACAATCAGCGAGACTCCGTGGGCGTAGGACCTTCGGATCCAGGTGCGGGATATAATCTCGTGGTGCGCCGTTTTTTAAGCCGGTCTGAAAAGCGCAGTATTTGGGTGGGAGTGACCCGATTTTCCAGGTGCATCCGTCACCCCTTTCTTTGACTCGGAAAAGGAACTCCCTGACCCTTGCGCTTCCCAAGTGAGGCAATGCCTCGCCCTGCTTCGGCTCGCGCACGGTGTGCGCACCCACTGACCTGCGCCCACTGTCTGGCACTCCCTAGTGAGATGAACCCGGTACCTCAGATGGAAATGCAGAAATCACCCGTCTTCTGCGTCACTCACTCTGGGAGCTGTATACCGGAGCTGTTCCTATTCGGCCATCTTGGCTCCTCGAGAGCAGCGTTTTTTCCAATATAATTAAATGACATCTCCATCTCTCTCCCCAAAAATCAATTTTTCTCTATTTTCAAAATGCCTAGTTAATAAAACCAATTCTCATCGCTATCATTGTAACACTCACTTGGACCAGTCTCTCATGACTTGATTATGGCTATAGCCTCCTAACCTGTTCTATTCCTGCCTAAGTCTTTTTCTGTCTATCCTTAACACAACAATGAGAATCATCATGTTAACATTTGGATCAGATCATGTTGATTTTCTTTACTCAAAATCTTCCAGTGGCTTCCTGCCTTACTCTGAGTAGAGGATGAACTTGAAGGTCTCCTTTGATCTGTTCTCTTGTTAGCTTCCTGACTAACCTTGGCTCCCATGATTCTTCTCCTTGCTCACTCACTCGCACTATGCTTGTCTTTCTTGATGTCCTGGAAGATACCAAGAATGCTTCCTTTGTAGATCCTTTGCACATCATCTTCTTATGGCCAGGATCACTTTTTTTCTGCGTATCTGCCCAGCTTCACGACTTATTGCTTTGCCTCTTGAGACCTTTATTCACATCACTCAATGTGGTCTTTATTGACTGCTTTAACAAAATCCCAAACACTCTCCATTTACTGCATTTATTCCTGTTTCATTTTTATTTTTCATCCTTTTTATAACTTTTATTTTAGAATCATGGGGTACATGTGCAGAATTATTTAAAAAGACATATTGCATAATGCTGAGGTTTAAAGTATGACTAAATCCATCTTCCAATAGGTAGTTTTTCTAACTTTGTCCTCCTTACTCTCTCCTCTCTCTTATATTCCTCAGTGTCTACTGTTCCCATCTTTATCTCCACTTTTACCTAATATTTATCTCCCACTTATAAGTGAGAACATGGAGCATTTGGTTTTCTGTTTCTGCATTAGTGAGTAGGATAATGGTTTCCAGTTGCATCCATATTGCTGCAAAGAACACAGTTTCATTCTTTTTATGGCTGCATAGAATCCCATGGTGTATGTTGTACCGCATTTTCTTTATTCAACACAGTATTGATGGGCATCTGGGTTGATTCCACATCTTTGCTATTGTGAATAGTGCAACATTCACTGTATGCAATGTGCATTTGTCTTTTTGGTAGAATGATACAGGTACACGTATCTTTTTGGTAGACTGATTCATTCATTGATATGTACCTAGTTATGAGATTTCTGGGTTGAATGGTAGTTCAACTCTTAGTTTTTTGAGAAATCACCAAACTGTTCTCCGCAGTTGCTGAATTAATTTACGTTCCCACCAGCAGCGTATAGGTGTTCTCTTTTCTCCATAGCCTTGCCAACATTGTTTTTTTTTTTTTTACTTTTTAACAAAAGCCACACTGACTGGCATGAGATGATATCTCATTGTCATTTTGATTGGCATTTCTCTGATAATTAATAATGAGAAGCATGTTTTCATATGTTTGTTGCCACTTGTATGTCTTCTTTTGAGAAGTGTCTGTTCATGTCTTTGTCTCCTTTTTAATAGGGTTGAGGTTTTTTGCTTGTTATTTTGTTAAGTTCCTTATAGATTCCGAATATTAGACCTTTGTTGGATACATGGTTTGTGAATATTTTCTCCAATTATCCAACTCAACAAATGGTGCCGGGATAACTGGCTATCCATATGCAGAAGAATGAATCTGTACTCCTACCTATCACCATATATAAAAATTAACTCAAGATGGATTGAAGACTTAAATGTAAAACTTCAACTATAAAAATCCTAGAAGACAACCTAGGAAATATGCTTCTCAATATCAGCCTTGGCAAAGAATTCATGGCTAAGTCCTCAGAATCAGTTGCAACAAAAACAGAACTTGACAAGTGGAACCTAATTAAACTAAAGAGCTTCTACGCAGCAAGAGAAATTATCAACAGAATAAACAGCTATTTTTTATAGTCTTTATCATATCACATTCCATACTATGTATTTTGCTAATATGTACTTAAAAATATATTAAATATAAAATATATCTGTTTCTACCTGTCTGACCCTTTCAGTCTATAAGACCCATGGGTGACAAAGATTATTGTTTTTATTACTATCATATCCCCAATATCTAGAAGGATGCTAGGCACATATCAGAAACTTAATACATAATTGTTGAATGAATAAATGAATCTAGAACATCAGTCAAAAAATCTTAATAATAATCTCGGCACTCTATGCTTAATTCTAAGCCATTTTATTTCTACTACTCAGTTTACTTTCTGTAACCTAACTCTTAATTCCATCGTGTGAATGTTCCTTGAAGCTTTTGGTAACAATCATTTTATTTTTAGACTAAAAAGATTATTGCAAAGTTCCAAGATCATTAACCTTATAATTCTTATCACTAGTTAGTAGTTCAAGGCTCGACTCACCTATTGCGATAAGTTAGATCTACCACTAATTCTGACAATAAATTATTCATATTGGGTTTCTATGTTCATACGTAAGGATATTTCATCTGTCTATAAGTATAAGGATGTGTCTGTCCTTGGTGGTATTTACTACTTCAGATGTGCAATCAGATAACTTGGAATAGCAGAGCAAAATTTATTTAGAAAATGGGTTTTCTAGCTCTTTAATCAAGACTGAAATTACAAAAATACTCTAAGATGTTTTAGGTTTCATAAATGTTCAGAAAATTATCTAATTCAACTTTTATATAGTGTTATGAATCATATACTTTAGTGTTTTTTTCACAAGTCAATACCTTTTTGAGAAAATATAGAGAATAATAATAAAATAATAAATATGGCCATTACCAGCTGTTGATATGTTGAATTATTTACAGAATTAACTTACTCACCATCATTATTATATTTCATTAACTTTAACAGTTTCTTTCTGGAATCTAATACTCCTATAATTTTAAAGATTTGTCTTAGAAATGTACACCAAGCCAGTTCAAGTAGATATAAATGTATAAGGTATTTCATATGAGAAATTACCATCTGGGTTCATACTATTACCACGTAGTGGACATCACCAGCTCAAGTTCATTGGATATGCACTTTCTCTATAGTACAAATATCAAAATGATGCAGAAATAGCTTTCTGCTTATCTGGATAAAAAAGAAAATAAATGAGAACTAAAAAAGTTTTTATAAATCACCTAGGTCAATCTTCTTCCTTTATATAGTAGGGAAAACGAGGCCCAGATAGAAGATATTTAATTTATGGAAAGCAAGGCTACATCACGTTAATATTACTAAACCACATTTACACATGAAATAACTCAGAAAATACTAGTGTCATTGAGTATTCAAAATCACAAATTGGCAATCGGATAAAACTCTGGAATGACCTTTTCAAGGCCCAGCTAGGACACTGTCTTAAGGATTACATCCTGCTATTCATCAATATGCAGTACATATATTTTTAAAAAGCCTATGACATGATTCTGTGTCCCTTATAGCTAGATTAAAATGGTCCAGACGCCAAATGCAGGAGGCAGGGATGACCACTCTCACAACTCTTCACATATTACATATTACAGAATATGTGTTTCCCACCCCTATATCTTCAGAAGTGATGCGATTAAATATTTTGGTTCTTGAGGTGATAGGAAAAACTTCTGTAACAACAGAAGGCAAACTAATGCTGTGGTGGCTGTTTGAGGTTCTCTTGGGCTATTAGGGAAAGAAGGGAAGTAGGTACACCAGCAGGGTAATTGATCTTTATTATCATTAGAGTCTAAAAGATTGTTGCTGCTTACTGGTGCAAGGAAGAGGTTGTATGAATTCAGTGATTTTGCTGGGATGACTCTTGGTGTTTTTGCTTTGGTGATAGCCTTGAAAGGTTGATTGAAGCATCTGAAGCCAGATAGGACATGGCAATAGGAGCCCAGTCCCTCCCAGAATGCTCTAGCTTACCCCACTTGTCAAGCAACCAGTTGCAATAGTGGGGATCTGTAGCTTTTCCCTGTAACACTTTTGCTTTATTTTTAGCATTTGATTCATTTATTAGATATATGACTCACCATCATCTTAAAGAATCAGTAGCAGTTAAATTAAATGAACTTAATGTGGGCAATGAGTAGCTCTTAGTCATGCAAAGGGTGCTCTGTAGCAGATAAGGTTAGTAGCCAGTGCTTTTCCTGTGTGTCCAAATCTGATGGTTTCTTATTGAAAACACCATTAATAAATTGACAGTTAAATACTACAGTTTTCTCAGGGCTTGTATGGGACAACTCAGGTATTTTCTCTCAGGTTCCCCAGATGTTTTCATGACATTTGAGCCCCAGTTGGCCACAGCAGTAACCTGCTCTTTAATGCATCCTGTATTAATGTCCTTTCTTTCTCTGTTTCACTTCTCTTTTCCTCTACTAGTGATTTCTGGGATCACTTTTCTCATAAATTATTTGCACTCAAACTTCTGTCTCCATGTCTGCTATTGGCAAAATCTCATCTAAGACCTATCATATGTCAGATAAGCCTTAATAAATAAACAGCAGGATTGGATAACAAGTGTTGGAGACATTGTGGGGTATTGCAATTTTAAATTGTTTTCTTAGGGAAAGCCTGATTAAGAAGTTGATCTTTAAGCAATGATCTGAAAAAGGTGACAGAATCTGACAGTGTCTGCAGGAAGAATACACTAGGCAGAAGAGGTAGCAAAAATCATGAGATTGGAACATTACTGGCATGTTTTGGAAATAATAAGGAAGTGACAGACTCTGAAAGCAGAAAGCATAAGAGAAAGTGAGAGTAATAAGAGATAAAATAGAAGGTGAGACATTGAAGGGTTGAGAGAGATTTTATTGGGTCTTTTATGTCACTACAGGATTCTTACTTGCTCTTAAAAAGAAGAGATGCCATTGGGAAATTTTGAACAATTAATCTATCTTAAATTTTTAAAGATTTGATTCTAAGATATTGATTTCTGGCTCCTGAGTCTCTGGAAGCAGGTGAGAGATCCTAAATAGGGGCTGAGGGTATCTGGGCAGGATTATTCAGATACTGTTTTGTTCTTTTTCCGCTTATACCTTATCCATGGAGAAAACTGTAGAATCAGGAATACAAGATTCCTGGGATTAAGTCATCTGAACATTAAGGCTCCTGGGCTTTAGGTACATTCTCAAAGTTAGCTTCTAGTTCCATTTCTTCTCTGTTTGCCCATTAGAATAACACCACAGTGGCTATATTCTCTACTTGCCACTAATAACAGGGTAGAGATAAGGGTGGATTTTCTACTAAATATTTCTATGTTTCACTATCTAGCAAGACAAGATTGTTCTAATGTATAAGTTATAAGGGAACAATTCTTCTTGTAAGGTAAATCATTTTTCTCAATCTCATGGACTCTAAAATATCTCATTAAGGAGTGATTCTCTTATTTTCAGTAGTTAAGGAAGGTCACCCTTGACCTGCCACCAACCCTAGGGTATAAGAAATAAATAAATGAGTATATCACCACAAACGTTACTCTTTCCAAGTAAACAGCATATACCTTAATAAGGAAGTGTCAAAAAGTATATTTGCATTTCATAGGAATTTAGTGTGTAATGCCAGAGCTGAACAAATTATCACAAAATTACTTTTCATATTATTTAGAGAGCTTAACTGAGGCTCTAAAACTCACTGAGAAAAAGTGTGCCAACTCATCATTATCATTGATTTTTCCTGACATTTAGGTAAAAGGTCTTACTATTTTAATATGAGGAGGTAAGTGATCTATAATGTAGATTTATAGACATAAACGCTAAGAATCCATCAGAAAAGCCAACTCATCAGAATGTTAACCTTTGATATGCTGGATGGGCATGTTTCAAGATAATTGACATGTTCTGATAATCTCCAAAATCTGAAAAAAAAAGTTGTTATTCACTTCACTATACAGGATAGACTACGTGGAATCTCCTGCTACTGGTACTGTAATAATCTGGATTTGACTAATGAAGTCCAAAAACTGAGTCATCATAATCATGTTATGGAGAAAGGTAATTTTTAAGGATGCTAATTTAGTCTATGTAAATTTGAATGGTAAGTCTGAATTATGTGTCACCCCATTTTATTTTAATTTCCCACCTCCAAAGAAGTTTATACCTGTATTAGCTGGGAAATAATTGCACATGTATTATTTTTCTACATTTGTCAAATAGTGGAGATGAGGGGTTTGTGTTTCTGTTAAATTTATGTCATATGTCATATGTCATGTATTTCTGCCTACCTTCCTACCCAGCTGCATCATTATTCTGTTGGACAAAAAGTGGTTTGGCATAGAAGTACCTAAAAATGCTCACACGCCACTAAGCAACTCCTATCTTAGTACCCATCTTTATGTTGCCATATCTATGATGCATTGATATTTTTATATTATCTTGCATTTGTTTTAAGTATTTGTGAGATATTATATGGTACAACTAAAAAGAATAGTACAAAATATATGTGCATTGTAGAAAACATAGAAAATAGCCAATTAGGGAGGGTTCTTATTCATTTTGTTGGTTTTGTCTTTATTTTTTTAAGAGACACGCCCACCTCTAATAAAAGTCACGTGAAATTTTTGGTATATTCTTTTTCAGTTCTTTTCCTTATTTATGTTCTTTCCTCATGTTAATTTTTTTCTAGAAGGCACATGCTGAGGTTGTATCTGTGATACAATGATTCCCTCAATGAGCATGTGTCTGCTTCCTTCTACTTTGCGAAGGCAAGGGGTTAGCATTGTTCCACTGTACATATACTCACTAAAATGACATGACATAAATTGAGCCAGTAAGAAACTTTTCTAAGGAGAGCCTTTTCCTTTGTGGATGCAGATGTTTTCATAAACTAACACCAATGTGATAGGGGTCATGCTTCCTTCTGTGTATAGCACCATGCTTATAAAAGACAAAAATGAAGCCAACATTCAAAATAAAAGAGAGAGAGACAAGCCAAGAAATAGAAAGACTGGAGGCTCTGGGGTCCTTGGTTATTAGCTTTGTATTGCTTCAGGCTGACTTGATTTCACCCTCCTTAAGAGGTTTGAATTTTCTGAAGTTGCTTATCAGCTTAAGGAGATTTAGGGCTGAGACAATGGAGTTTTCTAAATACACAATCATGTCATCAGCAAACAGGGACAATTTTACTTCCTCTTTTCCTAATTGAATACCCTTTATTTCTCTCTCCTGCCTGATTGCCCTGGCCAGAACTTCCAACACTATGTTGAATAGGAGTGCTGACAGAGGGCATCCCTGTCTTGTGCCCGTTTTCAAAGGGAATGTTTCCAGTTTTTGCCCATTCAGTATGATATTGGCTGTGGGTTAGTCATAAATAGCTCTTATTATTTTGAGATCCGTCCCATCAATACCTAGTTTATTGAGAGTTTTTAGCATGAAGGGCTGTTGAATTTTGTTGAAGGCCTTTTCTGCACCTATTGAGATCATCATGTGGTTTTTGTCTTCGGTTCTGTTTATATGATGGATTGTGTTTATTGATTTGCATATGTTGAACCAATCTTGCATCCGAGGGATGAAGCCAACTTGATCTTGATGGATAAGCTTTTTGATGTGCTGCTGGATTCAGTTTGCCAGTATTTCACTGAGGATTTTCACATCGATATTCATTAGGGATATTGTTCTAAAATTCAATTTTTTTGTTGTGTGTCTGCCAGGCTTTGGTATCAGGATGATGCTGGCCTCATAAAATGATTTAGGGAGGATTCCCTCTTTTTCTATTGACTGGAATAGTTTCAGAAGGAATGGTACCAGCTCCTCTTTGTACCTACGGTGGAATTCAGCTGTGAATCCTTCTGGTCCTGGACTTTTTTTGGTTGGTAGGCTATTAATTATTGCCTCAATTTCAGAGCCTGTTATTGGTCTATTCAGGGATTCAACTTCTTCCTGGTTTAGTCTTGGGAGGGTGTATGTGTCCAGAAATTTATCCATTTCTTCTAGATTTTCTAGTTTATTTGTGTAGAGGTGTTTATAGTATTCTTTGATGGTAGTTTGTATTTCTGTGGGATCAGTGGTGATATCCCCTTTGTCATTTTTTATTGCGTCTATTTGATTCTTCTCTCTTTTCTTTATTAGTCTTGCTAGTGGACCATGAATTTTGTTGATCTTTTCAAAAAACCAGCTCCTGGATTCATTGATTTTTTGAAGAGTTTTTTGTTTCACTATCTCCTTCAGTTCTGCTCTGATCTTACTTATTTCTTGCCTTCTGCTAGCTTTTGAATGTGTTTGCTTTTGCTTCTCTAGTTCTTTTAATGTGATGTTAGGGTGTCCATTTTAGATCTTTCCTGCTTTCTCTTGTGGGCATTTAGTGCTGTAAATTTCCCTCTACACACTGCTTTAAATGTGTCCCAGAGATTCTGGTATGTTGTGTCTTTGTTCTCATTGGTTTCAAAGAACATCTTTATTTCTGCTTTCATTTCGTTATGTACCCAGTAGTCATTCAGGAGCAGGTTGTTCAGTTTCCATGTAGTTGAGCGGTTTTGAATGAGTTTCTTAATCCTGAGTTCTAGTTTGATTGCACTGTGGTCTGAGAGACTGTTTGTTATAATTTCTGTTCTTTTACATTTGCTGAGGAGTGCTTTACTTCCAACTAAGTGGTCAATTTTGGAATAAGTGTGGTGTGGTGCTGAGAAGAATGTATATTCTGTTGATTTGGGGTGGAGAGTTCTGTAGATGTCTATTAGGTCTACTTGGTGCAGAGCTGAATTCAATTCCTGGATATCCTTGTTAACTTTCTGTCTCGTTGATCTGTCTAATGTTGACGGTGGGATGTTAAAGTCTCCCATTATTATTGTGTGGGAGTCTAAGTCTCTTTGTAGGTCTCTCAGGACTTACTTTGTGAATCTGGATGCTTCTGTATTGGGTCCATATATATTTAGGATAGTTAGCTCTTCTTGTTGAATTGATCCTTTTACCATTATGTAATGGCCTTCTTTGTTTTGATCTTTGTTGGTTTAAAGTCTGTTTTATCAGAGACTAGGATTGCAACCCCTGCTTTTGTTTTGTTTTCCATTTGCTTGGTAGATCTTCCTCCATCCCTTTATTTTGAGCCTATGTGTGTCTCTGCAGGTGAGATGTGTCTCCTGAATACAGCACACTGATGGGTCTTGACTCTTTATCCAATTTGGCAGTCTGTGTCTTTTAATTGGAGCATTTAGCCCATTTACATTTAAGGTTAATATTGTTATGTGTGAATTTGATCCTGTCATTATGACGTTAGAGAATAAAATACCTAAGAATCCAACTTACAAAGCATGTGAAAGACCTTTTCAAGGGGAACTACAAACCACTGCTCAACAAAATAAAAGAGGACACAAACAAATGGAAGGACATTCCATGCTCATGGATAGGAAGAATCAATATCATCAAAATGGCCATACTGCCCAAGGTAATTTATAGATTCAATGCCAACTGCATCAAGCTACCAATAACTTTCTTTGCAGAATTGGAAAAAAACTACCTTAAATTTCATATGGAACCAAAAAAGAGCCCGCATTGCCAAGACAATCCTAAGCCAAAAGAACAAAGCTGGAGGTATCATGCTACCTGACTTCAAACTATACTACAAGGCTACAGTAACCAACACAGCATTGTACTCATACCAAAACAGAGATATAGTCCAACGGAACAGAATAGAGCCCTCAGAAATAATACCACACATCTACAATCATCTGATCTTTGACAAACCTGAGAAAAGCAAGCAATGGGGAAAGGATTCCCTATTTAATAAATGGTGCTGGGAAAACTGGCTAGCCATATGTAGAAAGCTGAAACTGGATCCCTTCCTTACACCTTATACAAAAGTTAATTCAAAGTGGATTAAAGACTTAAATGTTAGACCTAAAACCATAAAAACCCTAAAAGAAAACCTAAGCAATACCATTCAGGCCACAGGCATGGGCAAGGACTTCACGACTAAAACACCAAAAGCAATGGCAACAAAAACCAAAATTGACAAATGGGATCTAAATAAACTAAAGAGCTTCTGCACAGCAAAAGAAATTACCATCAGAGTGAAGAAGCAACCTACAGAATGGGAGAAAAAGTTTACAATCTACCCATCTGACAAAGGGCTAGTATCCAGAATCTACAAAGAACTTAAACAAATTTAAAAGAAAAAATCAAACAACCCCATCAAAAAGTGGGCGAAGGATATGAACAGACACTTCTCAAAAGAAGACATTTATGCAGCCAACAGACACATGAAAAAATGCTTATCATCACTGGCCATCAGAAAAATGCAAATCAAAACCACAATGAGATACCATCTCACACCAGTTAGAATGGTGATCATTAGAAAGTCAGGAAACAACAGATGCTGGAGAGAATGTGGAAAATAGGAACACTTTTACACTGTTGGTGGGACTGTAAACTAGTTCAACATTGTGGAAGACAGTGTGGCGATCCCTCAGGGATCTAGAACTAGAAATACCATTTGACCCAGTCATCCCAATACTGGACATATACCCAAAGGATTATAAAATCATGCTGCTATAAAGACACATGCACACGTATGTTTATTGCAGCACTATTCACAATAGGAAAGACTTGGAACCAACCCAATTGTCCATCAGTGATAGACTGGATTTAGAAAATATGACACATATACACCATGGAATACTATGCAGCCATAAAAAAGGATGAGTTCATGTCCTTTGTAGGGACATGGATGAAGCTGGAAACCATCATTCTCAGCAGACTATCGCAAGGACAGAAAACCAAACACTGCATGTTCTCACTCATAGGTGGGAACTGAACAATGAAAACACTTGGACACAGGGTGGGGAACATCACACACTGGGGTCTGTCGTGGGGTGTAGTGGGGGGAGCAATAGCATTAGTAGATATACCTAATGTAAATGATGAGTTAATGGGTGCAGCACACCAACATGGCACATGTATACATATGTAGCAAACCTGCACATTGTGCACATGTACCCTAGAACTTAAACTATAATTTAAAAAAAGAGTTTGAATTTTAGTGTTTTCTTTACTTCTGTGAACAACTCTACTGTCTACCAGTCCTATAATAAGTGAGTTAATTTTAGTCTATCACTTGCATCCAAAAGAGTCCAGATCAATAAAAATACCATATATGTAAATATGCATTCTGCTTTTTTTTTCTCAAATGTCAAACATGTTCAATCTTTCTTAGCTTGTAAGTTTGGTATCAATTATGTTCAGGATAAGATTTTTGGTATAAGCCTTATAAGAGAAGTATTTTATTTCTTATTAAAATAAATGAATGACTGTAATGTTGTATCATAGTTTAATTAATCTTCTCCATATTGTGGGACAACTTGTACAAATTACAAGTCATGTTGAATTAGACACTTGCTTATATTGCTATTTTCAGGTTAATATCATAAGATAGATTCTCAAATGTTGGATTAATGTGTCAAGGGGATAAACATATTAATGGTTTTAAATTCCTATTGACAGATTGCTTTCTAAAATGAAAGAACTGATTTATTTTCAGCAAGAACTATTTTCAACATCAAGTAGTATTACTTTATCAATATTTCTAATTTAGAAAGTGAAAAATAACTCACTGATGTTTCAATTTGTGTTTACTTGATTACCAGTGAGGTTAAGCATCTTTATATATGTTATGCTGTTTAATACATTTGACCTATTTGTATAAAAATCAAATACATCCTTAATGAGAAAAACCGCTCATATATTCACTTTGTGTAAATACAAGTTAATAGTTAACATAGAACTTTAAGACATGGACACCAAATATATCAAGCTTATTTCTTTTGTTAATAACAAGATTTTTTTCCATTTAGACATTGATGACAGGGAACTAACATGCAAAATTTTAAGCATACTACCCATGCTGGAGGTCCCTAAGTGAAAATTCATTGTTAAAATATTCTCTGACATACATAGATGAACTGTGGTGGTTATTCATTCAAGAGTGAACAGAATAAATGTATTTCAGCGCTCTCTCCATTATCATGGGCTTCTTAGGACTGAAAATCATCACTCCCAGCAGCAGGGTTTTTTTTTCTTTTAAAAAAAAATAACTCTCCCTCCTAACAGCAGTGTGGCTTTTGACACTTTCAGGCAGATTAAGAACTGAAGTCACAGTGGGCAGCCATAAGAGTCCAAACACATTGAGCAATGGGTCTCCCCATTGGTGGGAGGAAATTAGTGACTAAAGTCCTTAAAGCCATGAATCAGTGGTGTTGATGTGCTACAGGGAATCTATGAACAAGCTTCTTTCTTTTCTATCTCACAGGGGGCATCAGTACAGAGTGTGATCCATTGAAGTCAATAGAAACCATTGTGAAAGTAGTATGTATGTTTAGATTTAAACCAACCTGAGGAATAAGTAAAGCAAAATAAAATATATGTCTAAATATATGGTAATTTCTTTCTGCATTGGTAAAAAAAAAAAAAGCTTCTAGACATCCAACAAAATGAGAATAACAACAAAATCCACAAATGTGCAAAATCATGTTTTGTTTCTGAAACGAGCTGGTTGTAAAATAATTTCATTTCAGGAATAATAGGGAAGGCATATGCTCTTTCTTCTGACTTAATGGAAAATGACAGACTCTGGTGCGTCATAATTGACATAGTATTCACAACGATATGCTAGAATGCCAAAAGTGTAGAAGCAAATATGCAGCTGAATTCAAGTCCAGATTAGCCAAATTAAAATTTATTACAGGTGGGAAGCTACCTTTCTGTTGATACACTGGGGAGTTTTGGAATTTTCCTGTCTATCTTTTTCTTAACCTGAGTTCTCCTCCTTGTACCACTACTTTTCTGGACATGAATAAGAATAGCAAAAGAAGAATGGCTGTTGAGTTGCAGGTAATGGAGGAGGTAAGGCTGAAAACCAGTTGAGATGAGAGAAGAAAGCTTTAGTGAGTCGTTCCTGACTATTACGTCCCACTCCTTCAAAAATCATAATTTCAGCTCCTTTATCAGATACTTCTAAGAGTTACTATCAGAAATTAAAATGGCACCCCCCCACACACGTCAACCCACCCACCCACACACAAACACATATATATACTTTTGTTCTGTTCTTATTCTTGTCCAGAAAACTATATATATGTATATGTACTCACTAAATCTTGATCTGTCAATTTTGGGTATTATTTTTGACTTCTAGTAATAAGAGACAATTGTATTCCCTTACATAACCCCCTTTTTTCCCTCATCTTTCATAAACTTTGATACACATATTTGATATTAGTTAAATCTCTAATCAGTGACCATTTAAATAGTGTCACTTAGAGAGAAGGTGTAAAATAATTATGATTCTCCTTAAGACCAGGATTGTCTTTCTGTTCTTCCTAATGGTCTAATTCCTCATCATAAACCTTTCCTAAATGTCCACTTATACTATCTATTTCATTTTCGTAATCCCAAATTCACCATCTAAAGCTCCAATGTTCATTTAGTCTACATTGTATTTACTTTTCTCCAGGCCTGATCAATCACTGCTTTTATCTCAGACCATATTTTTGTTGATATTTTAGGTTTATTGGCTTTTTCTATATCTATATCTGTATTTAATACTTTTTCCTATCTTTTTACTTTACAAAAGCACATTCTCAGATGGCTCATTAAGAAAAAAATGAGTATGAGTTCAATGTTCTGAGTTCTTACATGACTAGTGATGTCTATATCCTGTCTTATATAATTGATTGCCAGTTTGCCTGAGCATGGAATTTGATACTGACAATCTACATTCAGAAGCTCAAAGTTAGTATGATTTTTACTGCTCTTTAGATGACATATATAAAAATTTTAAATATTTTTCTTGTCTTTGTTCTGAAATTTCACAATGATATTCTGTGTTTGAGGTTTTTTTGGTTTGTTTTTGTTTTTGTTTTTGTTTTTTTTTAATTTATTTTCCTGAACACATTTTGATATCTTTTCCTCTGAAGATATGTGTACTTCAGATATGGGGCCTCAGTTTGTATTATTTCTTTGA
This sequence comes from Homo sapiens, assembly GCF_000001405.40. NCBI lineage: Eukaryota > Metazoa > Chordata > Mammalia > Primates > Hominidae > Homo > Homo sapiens. The sequence continues at coordinate 124,085 of NW_009646204.1, read as the reverse complement.
TAATTTTCTTTCTTTAATCTTGTCTGTTTTCACTTCCTGGAGTTCCCAATGTTTTGAGATTGATGTTCTATTCCTGTGTCTTGTCTTTGATACTTTCAGTACCTTCTCTTTTTTAGTCTAATTTCTAAGGGATTTAATTGGCTTCCTATTTCATTAAAATAATTCCAATTGTTTTATTTTAAAAATATTTTATTTTCAATTTTCATGAGTACATAGTAGGTGGTATGGTTTGGCTCTGTGTCTCCATGCAAGTCTCACCTTAAATTGTACTTTCATACCTCCTACATGTTGTGGGAGGGACTCAGTGGAAGATAATTTGAATCATGGGGGCTGCTTCCCCTATACTGTTCTCGTGGTAGTAAATAAGCCTCACGAGATCTGATGGTTTTATCAGGGGCTTCCACTTTTGTATCTTCCTCTTGTTCTCTTGCCGCCGCCATCTATGAAGTGTCTTTTGCCTACTTCCATGACTTGGAGGCCTCCCCAGCTATGTGGAACTGTAAGTCCAATTAAACCTCTTTTTCTTCCCAGTCTCAGATATGTCTTTATCAGCAGCATGAAAATGGAATAATACAGTGGGTATATATATTTATGAGGTATATGTTATGTTTTGATACAGGCATGCAATGTGAAATAATCACATTATAGAGGATGGGGTATCCATCCCCTCAAACATTTATCCTTTGAGTTACAAACAATCCAATTACACTCTTTAGTTATTTAAAAATGTACAATTAAGTTATTATTGACTATAGTCACCCTGTTGTGCTATCAAATTACTTTTTTTTTCATTTCAGCAATCCCATATTACATTTTTAAAAGCTAGTTTGTGTTCTATGATTGTTGTATTCTGGATGAAATATTTTCTCCTATCACATCCAAAGATAACATTTTTTCAGTTTAGCGCTCTTCATAGTTTCTTCCTTCTATATAATTATATTTTCTGTGGCATCTCTACCTTAAATTGAAGTCTTTTCTTACATGTCAGATATTCTTCAGTTATGTTTTAATGTATGAACCAAAGATTGTTTGGGTATACTCTGTATATGGGTGTGCCATGTTAGCTAGAGGTATCTGCTTTAATATCTGTGGGTAGGGTCTTGGATATTTCTTTGGAGGATTTCTGAATATAGTGAAGTATTTTCTTTTACTCTTTTATCTGGAACGGAAACTTCAGAACTTCTACCTGAGGAGGTATAACCTTGCAGTGGGTGAAAAAATATTGTAGTATCTTCAATATACAGACTTGATTTCAATTCTACTGTTTTCAGTTTTTTTTTTCTGGCCTTTCTCATACCAAGTATCTAACATCTTTGAAGTTTTTCTCTTTTAAGGGTGCAGGGGCAACTTGGTTACCTTCTTCTTTCTTTTTAGTAATCTCTTCTAGGCTGTATAGTTTTTTTACCCAGGCATTTCAACTATCATTTATCTCTCCACTTTGCATCCTCCATAGGTATATGGAAATCTCTGAGACACTTACCTACACTGTCATTGTTATGTTTTTCATTGATTTTGATTAATGAGCTTCTTGTATATTTTACTTTTATTACAATAGTTTTCCTGGAAGGATAGGAGATGTGCATATGTTGTCACTCTATATTAGAAATTCTTCATTATACTTTTGTTTTCCCAAAAGTAGGTGGAGTTAAATTTTTTTTAACAAAAATAAATGTAATACAAGAAACACCTTAACCTAGAACCTTGGAGAATTTATGATCTAAATATTGTCTTTTATTTTAGTTAGCTTAATGTCCTAGTACATATCTTCATACATATCTTCATAAGGCCTTCAGTTTTCCAAAGAATCATCATGTTATTTCACATGTTTGTGTTTTCTGTTCCAATTATCTCCTATTCATTCTTCAGGATGTACCATATATAGCAACTCCCAGGAACCTTTTATGATTCTTAGTAAAACAAATTAATATAAATATATAAAACAGTATGCAATTGGATCACAGAAGATTATTTTATACATACTAACTATATTGATATTCCTATTTTTCAAAATCTGTATCTTCCAACCACCTAACACAGTTTTAACCACAAGTAGTAGTAGTATTAGTAGTAGCATGCACTTTTAAATATTTATCAAATGAATAAAATAACAGTGTCTTTAATAATTATGTGTTCAACATGAGCCAGCAGTATAGTTAGCAAAAATATTTCAGTCTTAAAGTAAATGTGATATTTGAAAAATGTTTAAATGATAAATTTTAGTATAAGTCTAATCATGTTAAGAAAACTGTACATACATCTAGAAATGACAATTTAATAGAGATATTAAGAAAAATAAATCTGGTAAGTTAGGAAAGGAGAGAGAATGATATATGAGGGCCTGAAATCCATGTCACTGGAAGAGCAGTTAAAGGAAATATAATTATTTTATCTAATATATTGAATGTTCTGCAACATGACAAATATTAATAAATATGTGAGGAGTTTTGATATAGTTGTAACAGTACATTTTCTGAGTTGATCTCTAAAAGAAAAACCTCTAAAAAGAAATATAGATGGTAAAATTTTGATTTAATATGAGTAAGAACTTCCCAACTGGAAGACATTGCTTAGGAGAAAGTTGTGTTTTTCTCTGTGAGCGTTTCCACACTGGCCACATCTCTGGGTTGTTGTTGGGAGTTTTCAGCACATGGTCAGAGGTTGGACTATAGGACCTTTAAAGAGCCCTCCAACATCAAGTGTTTTGGGAAAAAAAAAAAAGGATTTAGCTAAACTAAGACATCAACCAAGTAGTACAATTAGAAAATCGTAAATTGGAGGCAATCTACACACATAGTACATAGAGTAAAACTAAAATGTTAAGGTTCAGAAAAACATGTTGGTCAAAATAACAATAAAATATCATTAAAATTATAAGAAACATTTTTGAGCTATTACTTTATTTCTTGTAATCCATCATAAATGTTTTGCTCACAATAGAGATAATTTAATATATCGCTTTAAAATTTAGGTATTATTTTTAGCTTTATCAGATGATTTTACAGAACTTTAAAGACCAAAGAATCTAAATAAATGAATGGCCAAATTAAATAACTTTTCCTAAGTCTGCTCAAATGATGAATGAATTATAATACTTAGACATTATGTGTTTGCTTTAAAGTCTAGCATTTATATGAGTGACATAATGTATAATAGAAAAAAGATTACATTTTAATCTATAATTTAATTATTACATTTAGAATTGCATAGTAAAGGGATAAAGATTCTGAGTGATTTCCTTTACAACCTTCTAAGTCTGTGTAAGACAAGCATCCCTGTCTTACACAGGGATGTGTAAGACACATCCCTTTCCTTTCATGAGCTCAGAGAAAACTATGATACTATGCATTCATTATTGAACCTTAATATGTTAAGAATGTTTTCCCACTTTTTTGCACTAGAAGAGGTAGCTGAGTTTACACCTCTCCCAAGTTACTGACAAAATGGAGCCACTCTTTGTTCAATTAGCTGAGTTTACACCTCTCCCAAGTTACTGACAAAATGGAGCCACTCTTTGTTCAATTTTTCCTAAAAACAATTCTCCAAAATGTGTTTTGATCTATTAAATTGTATGTTTTGCTTCAAGTTATAAAGACAAAAGTTTCTATATTCAACTTAAATTATGTATTATACATAGGAGATGCTGGGTATTTATGTTTTTTCTTGTAATTATATAATACAGGTAATCTATGTATATTTGACACTTGAATTTTCTTTTGATGATCCACATACTGAGTTCTGCATGTAAAGAATATTTGGCATAAAAAGCTTCTGTCTGAATTTTGATTTTTGTAGATTAGAGTCTGCACAAATCCCACAAGGTTGCTATACAGAGGCAGATGTTTGTTATAAACTACAGTTAAATTCTATACCCTGATACTGTCTACTTTCCCTTCCATATATCATCACCAAAAATAACAAGATAATAGAAAACAAGTTTTGATTCCAGAATGATTTTAGTTGATGATGATGAATGAAGCAGAATAGACAGCCTGATTTTCATAAGTTAAATTGAACTTGCAGTGCCAAATGCAGCAACAACAGCAAAAAGATTAGCAGACGTGACAAGGGAAAAGAGAAGAATTTATGTGCAAACACATAATGCCATTTGAAAAAAGAAGGGACTTATGAAAATGTACAAATGCATAGATACTGAATGCTGGCAGGAAAGAAAAAACTAAAAATACATTATCTAATGTTGGAAGCAATTGTTAGAGAGAATCAAGGCCAAGTAAATAGAGCAAGATAGTTTCAGGAAATAATTTTATTTTATTTGGGCTCTACAAGAAATCATACCTTGGTTCTTTTGGCATCCAGTACAAGTAATTATAAGAGACTACAATCTAGCTAGTATCCAAAGGAGAAAATAGCATTAGGTGGCATCCATGAATATTTTAACATATATAACAAACATTCCCCATTATTCACACACCACTCTTTGTGAAGCAAAAACAAGATGAAGAATAAAATAATAAGGTATTTTTCCACTGGTAGTTTGAAGTTCTGATATTAATTGCTTCCTCCACTTTGTGGCTTCTCAAGGGGTAAACTGAAAAATTGTTATCAAAGTGACTTTAAAATGCAGATTATTTTATATCTAAGGATTCTTTATATTTTTCTCTAGTAATAGAATTGTTTAGTTTTGTAATAGAATTGTTTAGTTTTTAATCAAATAATTTGCATCAAAATAAATCCATGGGACTGCCTTTGTCTCTATATAAAACTGACAACCGCTTTTGTCTTAATTATTTTAGGCTAAATTGATACTGTTGTTACATGTGTTTCTTCCACACCAAACCCCAGGTTAATAGAATACTTAAAAGTCTTTTATTATAGGTATTAAAGTGACTTTAAGAATATTACAGCTTGCTCCCTGTAGTATTAATTTCAATTGGTAAGCCATCAAATTTGATTTGTAACTGCAGAAATAATGAATTAATCTCAAGAAAATGGCCTAATACCTGAAAATCATCATCCCAGAAAAACCCATTATACATAATGCACAAAAGAAAACAGAAAAACCCATTATACATAATGCACAAAAGAAAAAAAAACAAAGTAAAACCAGATATAAGTGATAAAGAATACTTAAATCAGTATCCTATTATTATATTTTGTACATTTCTAAATGCATAAAGAAAAAAGGTTAAAAAATGAATTTAGATGTTATAATTTGGGAAGGGGAAGATAATAGAGAGAAGTTAAATGTAAAAAAATGCCTATATGAAGTTTAGGAAAGTCATCTTTGTGAAAAACATTTGTTTGATTTTTTGTGTGTATGTTTAAAGATCTTAATTGACTTCATTTGTGACTCTAGAATTGGGAAACACTTCGTTTTATAAAATAGAATGTGTTCCGATGAGCTGAGATGAGGTGGCTGATTTATAAACCATAATATATTTATTTTCAAAAATATATATATCTCATAATAATAAAACATAGTTTGACTTCTGTTCTTGGTCATAAGACAGTAATGGGAATTGTAATCTTTATCCGACTTTTAACAATTACACAACTAGACAAAACATATGCAACTATTGTCAGAGTTTAGATAACAAGAAGCATAGGATTGTGATTCTTGAGACAAGGGAAACAAATGAGGTTAGCACAACAATTGGCCAGGATCTCTGCTTAGTGGCACTCTTTAGATCACAGCACACTGAGTTACAACTCAAGAACACAGTATAATTGACCCTTGAACAGTGTAGGGGTTAGAGGCACTGACTCCCTGAACAGTTGAAAATCTGTCTATAACTTTTGACTCACCGAAAACTTAACTGTAAATAGCCTACTGTTGACAGGAAGCCTTACTCATAACACGAGCAGTTGACTAACAGATGTTTTATATGTGACATCTATTTTATACTGTATTGTTACAATAAAGGAAGCTGGAGAAAAGAAACTATTGAGAAAAATTATGAGGAAGAGAAAATATATTGACTATTCATTATGAAGTGAATCATCATAAGTGTCTTCATCCTCACTGTCTTCACATTAAGTTGGCTGCTGAGAAGGAAGAAAAGGGGTTAGTCTTGCTGTCTCAGAGGTGGCAGAGGCAGAAGAAAATCTGCATCTAAGTGGATGTGCATAACTCAAACTCATGTTGTTCTAAAGTCAACTGTAGTCTTAGGAGGCAGAGATTATATTTTGTGAATGCAGAGGCAGCTGGAGTTTAAGGGGTAGGGTACTGGAAATAACTGAATACATAAGAAAAATTATAGGACTTGGCATAAGACCTTTTGGTTTTTAGTAGAATACTGAGCAAAGCACTCACAGGGAAGGACTTTGTAAGACATGCAGAAAAGTGTTCTTTGGGACAATACACTGAAAGACATAGGTTGAACCAGCCAGAAAAGAGATATTCTGTTGTATACGCCAGGCACTGAGTTGCTGTCCCTGAAAACCTGTATCTTAGGATATTTGTCTAACAGAAATTAGAAATAAAGTTCACAAAAAGCATAATAATCCACCTGGAAATTGACGATTCCTTAAAAAAAAAGTATGTCTCGGCCGGGCATGGTGGCTCACGCCTGTAATCCGAGAACTTTGGGAGGCCAAGGCAGGCAGGTCACCTGAGGTCAAGAGTTCGAGACCAGCCTGGCCAACATGGTGAAACCCCGCCTCTACTAAAAAATACAAAAAATTAGCTGGGCGTGATGGCGGGCGCCTGTAGTCCCAGCTACTTGGGAGGCTGAGGCAGAGAATGGCCCGAACCCGGGAGGCGGAGGTTGCAGTGAGCCGAGATCATGCCACTGCAATCCAGCCTGGGCAACAGAGCGAGACTCCATCTCAAAAAAAAAAAAAAAAAAAAACAGTGCTGAAAGAGACGAAGAAGGGCATTTTAAAACAATAAAACAGTTGATCTTTCAGGAAGATTAACCATGATAAATGTATATACATCTAGCAACAAAATACCCAAATGAAAGATGGAAAATTTGGCAAAACTGAAGAGACAAATAGAAGGTTTAAAAACAAAGGTTGGTGGCTGGATACGGTGGCTCATGCCTGTAATCCCAGCACTTTGGAAGGCTGAGGCAGGCACATCACATGAGGTCAGGAATTTAAGACCAGCCTGGCCAACATGGCAAAACCCTCTCTCTACTAAAAGTGTACCAATTAGCCAGGTGTGGTGTGGCACCTTGTAATCCCAGCTACTTGGGAGGCTGAGGCACAAGAATCACTTGAACCCAGAAGGCAGAAGTTGTAGTGAGCCGAGATAGGCACCACTGCACTCAAGCCTGGGCGACAGAGTGAGACTCTGTCTCAAAAATAAAAAAATAAATAATAATACAATAAGGTTTGGAAATCTTAATTTCTCACCTTTAGTAATGGAGAGAACTAGGCAAATGAATGACAGAATAGAATATTTAACTATGCCATAAATCAACTAGACCTAACAGACACCCATAAAACACTAACATGACAAAAACAGCATAACCATTACCCTCAAGTGAACATAGAAAATTCTCCAAGATTGATCAAATACTAGGTCATAAAGTAAACCTAAATAAATATGAAAAGGTTGAAATTAAAGTTTGTTTTCTCATGCCTATGAAAGAAATCAATAACAGAAATAAATTTGAAAAATGTATAAGTTTGTGGAAAATAAACAATAGATTCCTAAATAGCCAATAGGTTAAAAAATAAATCATAAAAATGGAAAATATTGTATTATAAATAAACAAGATATAACACTCCAAAACTTGTGGAATGAAAATAAGAACAGTGCTAAGAGAAAAAAATACATAGTTGCATATGTCTGTATTAAAAAGAAGAAAGATCTTATATCAATTATTTAACTTTCTTTCTCAATACACTGAAAAGAAGAGGAACAAACTAACCTAAAGCAGAAGGAAGTAATAAAAATTGAAGTAGAATTTAGTAAAATGGAAAATAGAAAAGTCACTAGGAAAATCAATGGAAGCAAAACTTAACTCTATGAAAAGTCTAGCAAAATTAATAAATTTTCAGGTAAATTAAGCAAGAAACAAAGAACAGAGAACTTAAATTACTAAAATCATAAATGAAGCAAAGACATTATTACTAACCTTATAGAAATAATAGAGTGATTCTAATGTAGTTCATGAACAAGTATTGGTCAAAAAAATAAATAGTTTAGATTTCATTTAGATAAATGCCTAGAGAAAAAGACAGACAGAAAAAAATTCCTACCTAACCATAGTGAAGAAAAAACAGAAATTGTTCATAGAACTATAATAAGAAAAGAAAAAGAATTAGTATTTTTAAAACTTTACACAAAAAAGTCCAAGCCAAAATGGCTTTATGTAATTCTACCAAAAATGTAAACATAACATTGGGCAGAAAAATACAGTCAAAATGAAAAGGATCTAGTATTTGATAGCACAACAGGGTGACTACAGTCAACAATTTATTATACATTTAAAAATAACTATAAACATATTATTGGAATGCCTGTAACACAGAAAAATGATGAAAACTTGAAGTAATGGATTTTCACGGGTACTATGTACCCATAAAAATTAAAAATTCAAAAAATGTTTAATTAAATTCACACCAAGAGTTCACAAACTCCTCCAAAAATAGAAGAAAATGAAATACTTTGTCTCTTTCAATGAGACAGAATTTTTCTGAGACCAAAACTATCTAAAAATATTTCAAGTACAAAAAATACAGACTAATAATTCTTATAAATATAGGTATGAAATATTTAATTAAACAATAGTAAACCAAATCTGGGAACATATAAGCACATAAAAATGATTATACACCAGGACCAAGTAAGATTTATGCCAGGAATGCAAGGTTGATTTAAAACATGAACAAAGCCTTGAGAAATATTATGTAAAGTGTCCAAACCTAGGCATTACGGGAATTCCAGAAGGAAAAGAAAAAAATAAAAAGTATGAAAAACCTATTTGAGGAAATAACTCATGAAATCTTTCCTGGTCTTTCTAGAGAGCTAGACATTCAGTTAAAGAAAACTTGGAGAACTCCTGGGAGACACATTGCAAGAAGAACCTCATTAGGCATATAGTCACCAGAATATTCAAAGTCAACTTGAAGAAAAAATTCTAAAAGCAACAAGAGAGAAGTATCTAATCACCTATAAAGGAAGTCTCATCAGATTTACAGTGGACTTCTCTTCCAAAACCTTACAACCCAAAAGAAATTAGGGTCCTATTTTCAGTCTTCTTTAAGGAAAAATATACCAGCTGAAAATGTTGCATACTGCTCAACTAAGTTCAATAAATAAAGGAGATACGAAGTCTTTCATAGACAAGCAAATGCTAACAAAAGAAAAAAACACTAGACCAGTCCTGTAAGAAATGCTCAAAAGAGTTCTAAACATGGAAACAAAAGGGTGATACATATAATCACAAAAACACATGAAAGTATAAAACAAGTCTTGTAAAAGAATTATATAATTAAGACTGCAATGCAATTAGGTGATAATAAACATTATAAGAAGAACAAACCCTCATATACCAATGGTAACCTTAAACACAAATTGACTGCATGCACCACTTAAAAGATTTAGACTATTGGAATGAATAAGCAAACAAACAAAAGAAGAATCGGCGATATGCTGCATACCAGAAACTCATCTAAGTGGTAAAGATATTTGCAGGCTCAAAGCAGAGTAGTGGTAAAAGATAATCCATGAAAATTAAAACCAAAAGAGAGCAGGAGTAGCTATACTTATATCAGTTAAAACAGACTTTAAATCAACAACATTAAAAAAAGAAAATAAAGATTATTATATAATATTAAAAGGATCAATTCAACAAGTAGATAATACAATTCTAATTATATATGCACTCAACGCCAGGAACCCAGATTAATAAAACAAATACTACTAGACCTAAGAAAAGAGATAGACAGCAGTACAATAATAGTACAATAATAGCGGAGGATTTCAAAATCTCACTGACAACACTAGACAGGTCATTGAGGCAGAAAATCAACAAAGAAACTCTTGATTTAAATTAGACTCTAGACCAAATGGAACTAACAGATATTTATAGAATATTCCATTCTATAACCACAAAATATACATTTTTCTTATCAGTGCATAGAACATTCTCAAGAGTTGACCTTATGCTAGGTCACAAGGCAGGTCTCAATAAATTTAAAAATATTAAATAAATACCAAATATCTTCTCATACCATGGTGTAATAAACCTAGAAATCAACACCAAAAAGAATCTTCAAAACTGTACAAATTACATGGAAATTAAATAATCTGCTTCTGAATGATTGTTGGGTCAATGATAAAATTAGGACAGAAATTTAAAAATTCTTTGAGAAAAATGAAATTGGAGACACAGCATACCAAAACCTCTAGATTACAGCAAAAGCAGTGCTAACAGACAAGTTTATAGTGTTAAATACCTATGTTAGAAAAGATAGAAAGGTCTCAAATTAAAAACCTAACATTGAATCTCAAGGAGCCAGAAAAAGAACAAATCACACCCAAAACTAGAAAAAAACAAAAAACAAAAAACGACAAAGATCAGAGCAGAACTAAAATTGAAGGTAAAAACAATACAAAGGATCAATGAAATAAAAAGTTGTTTCTTTGAGATGATAAACAAAATTGAGAGATTATCAAAAAAAAGAATATTCAAATAAGCATAACCAGCAATGATCAAGATGTCATTTCAAATGATGAGATAGAAACAAAAAAATCATCAGACACTACTATGATGTAAGACTTTAACTCAAGATTAAGCCAGGAAGAAATAGATACACTGAACAGATGAACAACAGTAGTGAAATTGAAACAGTAATAAAAAATCTCCAAGAAAAAAAAAGCCCAGGACAGGATGGATTAACAGCTGAATTCTACCAGATGTACAGGGAAGAACTATTACCAATTCTACTGAAAACTGTTCCAAAAAATCAAGAAGGAGGGAATACTCTCTAACACATTCTACAAAGCAGTTTCACCCTGATACTAAAGCCAGGCAAGGACACAGCAGCAACAACAACAACAAAAAAAAAAACTACAGACTATTTATTATCCCTGGAGAACATAGATGCAAAACTCCTCAGCAAAATACTAGAAAATTGAATCCAACAGTACATCAGATAATACACTGTGGATCAGGTGGGATTTATTCCAGGGATGCAAGGTTTGTTCAACATATGCAAATTAATAAATGTGATTCACTGCATAAACAGAATTTAAAACAAAAATCATATCAGTAGATTCAGAAAAAGCAGTTGATAAAATCCAGCATGCCTTCATAATAAAAATCTTTACCAAACTAAGTATAGATGGAATATACCTCAAAATAATGAAATTAATAAATGACAATCCCATAGCCAACATCATACTGAATAGGGAAAAGTTGAACACATTCCTTCTAAGAACTGGAATGAGAGAAGAATGCCCACTTTCACCAGTTCTATCCACCATGATACTAGAAATGTTAGCTAGAGCACTCAGGCAAGATAAACAAATAAAAAGTATCCAAATTGGAAGAGAGGTAGTCAGATTATCTCTCTTTGCTGGTGACATGATCTTATACCTAGAAAACCCTAAAGACTTCAAAAAACTCCTAGGCTTGATGAACAACTTTAATAAAGTTTTAGGATACAAAATCAACATACAAAAATCAGTAACACCATGAAATACTATGCAGCCATAAAAAAATAAAAATTATGTCCTTTGCAGCAATATGAGTGGAACTGGAGGCCATTATCCTAGGCAAATTAGCAGAGAAAGAGAAAATGAACATCACATGTTCTCAGTTACAAGTGGGAGCGAAACATTGAGCACACATGGACACAAATAAGGGAACAATGGCCCCTGGGCCCTACTTGAGAGTGGAGGGTAGGAAGAAGATAAGGAGGGATCACAAGGAGGTGGAGGCTACAGTGAGCTGTGATTGTCCCACTGCACCCCAGCCTAGACAACAGAGTCAGAAATTGTCTTAAAGAAAAAAAGCAAACAGAAAACAGACAAACAGAAAACCCTAAAACCTACCTATCACATACTGTGCTGATTATCTGTGTGACAAAAGTTTTTGTATACCACACCACTGTGACAGGCAATTTACCCATGTCACAAACCTGCATGTGTACCCCCGAATCTAAAATAAAAGTTGGAAAAGAAAGACAACTTAAAAAATGAAATACTATAAGACAAAAATCAGCAGCATTTCTATATACAAATAATGTCCAAGCTGAGAACCAAATCTAAGATCTGAAACTACAAAAATCCTGAGGGAAAAAAAAAAAACAAAAAAATTCTTTGGGACATTGGTCAAGGCAACGACTTTATGACTGTCTTGAAAAGGAAATGCAACAAAACTAAAACAGACAAATTAGACTCAAACTAAAAAGCTCTGTACCACAAAAGAAATAAACAAATTAAACAGACAACCTAGAGAATGGGAGAAAATATTTGGAAACAATGCATACAACAGAGGGCTAACATCCAGAGTCTATAAGGAACACAAAAAATTCAATAAGAAGCAAATAACTCCATTAAAAAGTGGAAAAATGAAAAGAACAGACATTTTTCAAAGGAAGACATACAAATGATCAACAAACATCTGGAAAAATGCTCAACATTAATAATGATCAGAGAAATGTAAATTAAAACCATAATGGGATACCATCTCATAATAGTCAGAATGGCTATATTAAAAAGTCAGCATATAACAGATGTTGGTGAAGATGCAGAGAAAAGTTAATGCTTATACACTGTTGATGCTGTTGATGAGAATGTACATTAGTACGACATCTGTGGAAATAGTATGGAGGTTTGTCCAATAACTAAAAGTAGAACTACACTTTAATCCAGCAATCTCACTAATATTTTTTCTTTTCCAAAAAGAAAAAAAAAACTTATCAAAACAACTCCTCCACTTGTATGCTTATTGTGACACTATTCACAATAGGATAGTCATAGAATCAACCTAAGTGTCCATCAATAAAAGATTAAAGAAAATATAATACACCCACACACACATTCACATAGAAAACTATTCAGCCATAGAAAAGAATGAAATCAAATCTTTCCAGCAACCTGGATGAAACTGGAAGTGATTATCCTCAGTAAAATGACTCAGAAACAAAAAGTAAAAAACTATGTTTTTCACTTGTAAATGGGAGCTAAAAAATGAGTGCACATGGACATAAAGAGTGGAATGATAAACATCGGAGACTCCAAAAGATGGGATGGTGAGATGTGAGTGAGTGATGAAATACTACCTACTGGGTAGAATGTACACTATTTGGGTGATGTGTACACTAAAAGCCCAGACTTCACCACTACACAATATATCTGTGTCATACAACTGCACTTGTATCCCATAAAAATATAAACATTTAAACAAAATAAAAATGACAATAGATGTAGCATACTATTTTAGCAGAACAAAGGAGAAGCAGCACATAGTCATCTCAGTAAAGGTGAAAAAATATCTACAAATTCCAATACACTTCCATGATAAAACACTCAATAATCTACGAATAGACGGGAAGCTGGTATTCCTTTATAATTCTGATAAATATTTTCTTATATTTCTTTACAGCCTGATAAAATACATCTTTGAAAATTCCATATTCAACATCACACTTGAAGGTTTAAAAATAGGGTGAATGCTTTCTCCCCCAGATCAGGAACAAGTCAGGAATTGGGTGCTCTTGACAATTACATTCAATATTATACTAGAGACTCTATTCAAAGCATTTGTCAATAAAATTAAATAAAAAGTAGACAAACTTAAAAGGAAGAATATAACTTTATTTGCAGATTAGTGATCTTAAATATAACAAAGACCTTTAAAAATCCACTGAAAGAGATGACATCAGCATGATGATGGAATAGCATTTCCCGTCCTCATTTTCTCACAGACACTTTGATATAAACAACTTTTCACACCTGAAAATACGTACATGAGGAATCTGGATTTGCGGAGACAAAAGAGACTCCATCTTGGATGCTAATCTGCCATGTTGACTTCTAATTAGCCCCAATTCAGTGAATGCCTCTTGGTTTCTACTTTATTTAATGTGCCTAGTGTGAAAACAAGACAACCTTGATGCTATTGCACAAATTACAGGCTCTGATGCGCATAGCATTTCTGCCTGTTTTGGAGGGTTGCCTTTTATTGTCTTGCTACAACATATGTACCCTTTCCCCATGGTATATAAGCCTTGGGTCCAAGGAGTAACAGCGAGGAGATCTACCTGTCTTGCAGCTGCCTAAGACCACACTTGTTTCTTTAAGTTCCCTCAATACAACCACCATTACTGACAAACTGGACTTGTCTGCCTTTTTCTTTTTCTCAACTCCTTCGGCATCTGGGAGGCACTTTGCATACATAGGCCTTTCACGGATCAAATGGCGAGCTGGCCAGGAGAAGCCAAGAAATGAAAGTATGGACAGGGGAGAAGAAGCATTCGCAGGGGGAATTCCATGGTGACCCTCCTCATCTATGGGGGGGTGGTGGTGTCCATTTGGCAGATGCCTGTGGACTACCACTTGAGTACAGCTACACCCTGAAATGCCTGCCGGAGGGTCTAGAAAGCTTGCTAGTAAAAAGCCACATGATTCAGTGGTGAGAAAGGTCATAGAGCTGTGACAACAGCAAGTATGCTGCCGTTATGGTCTGTGTGAGTGGCCACAGAAGTGCAGGTAACAGCTGAGGTAAGTGTAGGAAAGTCGGAGGAAGAATTGCAGTTAAAAAGCGTTATGAGAACTTTCACATCTATCTTAGCGCCTGCTTTGGTTGACTAGCTGGAAACTCAGGAGGCATAGCTGCAAACCTTTGCTTGCCACTTTGTAAAGCTGGGAGGGATGAAGCTGTGCAGGCTGCAAGTGCTGGCTGTTCTCCTCAAACCAGACGGGGATGCAAATACCTGGAATTCTTGCGAACCAACTACTGAATCAGATGATGACATAGAGGTTCATTCAGAGGAGGTGGAAATTTTTCTTCCCTTTTGAAAGCAAAATTGCTTATGCAGCAGAAAGCAAAAGCCCAACACGTGCAGCCCTCGGCAGGATTATGGTACATAGCAAAAACATTTAAACAGCTGCCGAAAGAAAGCTTAGCCACGTGAATGGTGTGCCCTGGGACACAGGTGAGGATGGCATCTCCCTAGCAAAGAATGGAGTTGAAAAATGACCAAGTTCCCATCCTCACCCCCACCCCCACAACCCCACCACCAAGAGTAGTGGGCCCCCTTGTGGGACAAAATGCGTATGAGATGGTGAAGCCATTTCTGATTTTGGAGAAACTAAAAAGGGAAGCGATGATGTTCAAATGGTCGCTAAAGGAAAAGAAAAAATAAAAGACATCCTACTGGACTGAAAAAGGGAGCAAAAAGGCCCAGTTAGGATTTCTGGGAAACAAATGTGCTATGATCTGATTCCGGCCAGAAGAGACATAGAGAAAATAGCCCGGCAACCAAATGTCATGTAAGCAGGCCTTTGGAAAACTGACTTTTTTTTTTTTTAATTATTATTATACTTTAAGTTTTAGGGTACATGTGCACAATGCAGGTTAGTTACATATGTATACATGTGCCATGCTGGTGTGCTGCACCCATTAACTCATCATTTAGCATTAGGTATATCTCCAAATGCTATCTCTTCCCCCTCCCCCCACCCCACAACAGTCCCCAGAGTGTGATGTTGCCCTTCCTGTGTCCATGTGTTCTCATTGTTCAATTCCCACATAAGAGTGAGAACATGTGGTGTTTGGTTTTTTGTCCTTGCAATAGTTTACTGAGAATGATGATTTCCAATTTCATCCATGTCCCTACAAAGGACATGAACTCATCATTTTTTATGGCTGCATAGTATTCCATGGTGTACAAGTGCCACATTTTCTTAATCCAGTCTATCGTTGTTGCACATTTGGGTTGGTTCCAAGTGTTTGCTATTGTAAATAGTGCCACAATAAACATACGTGTGCATGTGTCTTCATAGCAGCATGATTTATAGTCCTTTGGGTATACACCCAGTAATGGGATGGCTGGGTCAAATGGTATTTCTAGTTCTAGATCCCTGAGGAATCACCACACTGACTTTCACAATGGTTGAACTGGTTTACAGTCCCACCAACAGTGTAAAAGTGTTCTGATTTCTCCACATCCTCTCCAGCACCTGTTGTTTCCTGACTTTTTAATGATTGCCATTCTAACTGGTGTGAGATGGTATCTCATTGTGGTTTTGATTTGCATTTCTCTGATGGCCAGTGATGGTGAGCATTTTTTCATGTGTTTTTTGGCTGCATAAATGTTGTCTTTTGAGAAGTGTCTGTTCATGTCCTTTGCCCACTTTTTGATGGGGTTTTTTTTTTTTTTTTTTTTCTTGTAGATTTGTTTGAGTTCATTGTAGATTCTGGATATTAGCCCTTTGTCAGATGAGTAGGTTGCGAAAATTTTCTCCCATTTTGTAGGTTGCCTGTTCACTCAGATGGTAGTTTCTTTCGCTGTGCAGAAGCTCTTTAGTTCAATTAGATCCCATTTGTCAATTTTGGCTTTTGTTGCCATTGCTTTTGGTGTTTTAGACATGAAGTCCTTGCCCATGCCTATGTCCTGAATGGTATTGCCTAGGTTTTCTTCTAGGGTTTTTATGGTTTTAGGTCTAACGTTTAAGTCTTTAATCCATCTTGAATTGATTTTTGTATAAGGTGTAAGGAAGGGATCCAGTTTCAGCTTTCTACATATGGCTAGCCAGTTTTCCCAGCACCATTTATTAAATAGGGAATCCTTTCCCCATTGCTTGTTTTTCTCAGGTTTGTCAGAGATCAGATAGTTGTAGATAAGCGGCATTATTTCTGAGGGCTCTGTTCTGTTCCATTGATCTATATCTCTGTTTTGGTACCAGTACCATGCTGTTTTGGTTACTGTAGCCTTGTAGTATAGTTTGAAGTCAGGTAGCATGATGCCTCCAGCTTTGTTCTTTTGGCTTAGGATTGACTTGGCGATGTGGGCTCTTTTTTGGTTCCATATGAACTTTAAAGTAGTTTTTTCCAATTCTGTGAAGAAAGTCATTGGTAGCTTGATGGGGATGGCATTGAATCTGTAATTTACCTTGGGCAGTATGGCCATTTTCATGATATTGATTCTTCCTACCCACGAGCATGGAATATTCTTCCATTTGTTTGTATCCTCTTTTATTTCATTGAGCAGTGGTTGGTAGTTCTCCTTGAAGAGGTCCTTCACATTCCTTGTAAGTTGGATTCCTAGGTATTTTATTCTCTTTGAAGCAATTGTGAATGGGAGTTGACTCATGATTTGGCTCTCTGCTTGTCTGTTATTGGTGTATAAGAATGCTTGTGATTTTTGCATATTGATTTTGTATCCTGAGACTTTGCTGAAGTTGCTTATCAGCTTAAGGAGATTTTGGGCTGAGACAATGGGGCTTTCCAGATATACGATCATGTCATCTACAAACAGGGACAATTTGACTTCCTGTTTTCCTAATTGAATACCCTTTTTTTTCCCTCTCCTGCCTAATTGCCCTGGCCAGAACTTCCAACACTATGTTGAATAGGAGAGGTGAGAGAGGGCATCCCTCTCTTATGCCAGTCTTCAAAGCAATGCTTCCAGTTTTTGCCCATGGAAGAAAGGGTATCAGTGATGGAAGACGAAATGAATGAAATGAAGTGAGAAGGGAAGTTTAAAGAGAAAAGAATAAAAAGAAACGAACAAATCCTCCAAGAAATATGGGCCTATGTGAAAAGACCAAATCTACGTCTGATAGGTGTACCTGAAAATGATGGGGAGAATGCAACCAGGTTGGAAAACACTCTGCAGGATATTATCCAGGAGAACTTCCCCAATCTAGCAAGGCAGGCCAACATTCAGATTCAGGAAATACAGAGAACGCCACAAAGATACTCCTCGAGAAGAGCAACTCCAAGACACATAATTGTCAGATTCACCAAAGTTGAAATGAAGGAAAAAATGTTAAGGGCAGCCAGAGAGAAAGGTCGGGTTACCCACAAAGGGAAGCCCATCACACTAACAGCTGATCTCTCGGCAGAAACTCTACAAGCCAGAAGCGAGTGGGGGCCAATATTCAACATTCTTAAAGAAAAGAATTTTCAACCCAGAATTTCATATCCAGCCAAACTAAGCTTCATAAGTGAAGGAGAAATAAAATACTTTACAGACAAGCAAATGCTGAGAGATTTTGCCACCACCAGGCCCGCCCTAAAAAGGTCCTGAAGGAAACACTCAACATGGAAAGGAACAACCAGTACCAGCCACTGCAAAATCATGCCAAATTGTAAAGACCATCAAGGCTAGGAAGAAACTGCATCAACTAACGAGCAAAATAACTAGCTAACATCATAATGACAGGATCAAATTCACACATAACAATGTTAACTTTAAATGTAGATGGACTGAATGCTCCAATTAAAAGACACAGACTGGCAAATTGGATAAAGAGTGAAGACCCATCAGTGTGCTGTATTCTGGAAACCCATCTCATGTGCAGAGACACACATAGGCTCAAAATAAAGGGATGGAGGAAGATCTACCAAGCAAATGGAAAACAAAAAAAGGCAGGGGTTGCAATCCTAGTCTCTGATAAAACAGACTTTAAACCAACAAAGATCAAAAGAGACAAAGAAGGCCATTACATAATGGTAAAGGGATCAATTCAACAAGAAGAGCTAAGTATCCTAAATATATATGCACCCAATACAGGAGCACCCAGATTCATAAAGCAAGTCCTGAGTGACCTACAAAGAGACTTAGACTCCCACACAATAATAATGGGAGAATTTAACACCCCACTGTCAACATTAGACAGATCAATGAGACAGAAAGTCAACAAGGATACCCAGGAATTGAACTCAGCTCTGCACCAAGCGGACCTAATAGACATCTACAGAAGTCTCCACCCCAAATCAACAGAATATACATTTTTTTCAGCACCACCCCACACCTATTCCAAAATTGACCACATAGTTGGAAGTAAAGCTCTCCTCAGTAAATGTAAAAGAACAGAAATATAACAAACTGTCTCTCAGACCACAGTGCAATCAAACTAGAACTCAGGATTAAGAAACTCACTCAAAACCGTTCAACTACATGGAAACTGAACAACCTGCTCCTGAATGACTACTGGGTACAAAACGAAATGAAGGCAGAAATAAAGATGTTCTTTAAAACCAATGAGAACAAAGACACAACATACCAGAATCTCTGGGACACATTCAAAGCAGTGTGTAGCGGGAAATTTATAGTACTAAATGCTTACAAGAGAAAGCAGGAAAGATCCAAAATTGACACCTTAACATCACAATTAAAGGAACTAGAGAAGCAAGAGCAAACACATTCAAAAGCTAGCAGAAGGCAAGAAATAACTAAAATCAGAGCAGAACTGAAGGAAATAGAGACACAAAAAAACCCTTCAAAAAATTAATGAATCCAGGAACTGGTTTTTTTTGAAAGGATCAACAAATGATAGACCACTAGCAAGACTAGTAAAGAAGAAAAGAGAGAAGAATCAAATAGATGCAATAAAAATGATGAAGGGGATATCACCACTGATCCCACAGAAATACAAACTACCATCAGAGAATATTGCAAACACCTCTATGCATATAAACTAGAAAATCTAGAAGAAATGGATAAATTCCTCAACACATACACCCTCCCAAGACTAAACCAGGAAGAAGTTGAATCTCTGAATAGACCCATAACAGGCTCTGAAATTGTGGCAATAATCAATAGCTTACCAACCAAAAAGAGTCCAGGACCAGATGGATTCACCGCCAAATTCTACCAGAGGTACAAGGAGGAACTGGTACCATTCCTTCTGAAACTATTCCAATCAATAGAAAAAGAGGGAATCCTCCCTAACTCATTTTATGAGGCCAGCATCATTCTGATACCAAAGCCGGGCAGAGACACAACCAAAAAAGAGAATTTTAGACCATTATCCTTGATGAACATTGATGCAAAAATCCTCAATAAAATACTGGCAAACCAAATCCAGCAGCACATCAAAAAGCTTATCCACCATGATCAAGTGGGCTTCATCCCTGGGATGCAAGGCTGGTTCAATACACGCAAATCAATAAATGTAATCCAGCATATAAACAGAACCAAAGACAAAAACCACAGGATTATCTCAATAGATGCAGAAAAGGCCTTTGACAAAATTCAACATTTCATGCTAAAAGCTCTCAATAAATTAGGTATTGATGGGACGTATCTCAAAATAATAAGAGCTATCTATCACAAACCCACAGCCAATATCATACTGAATGGGAAACCTGACTCTTGATCAAGAGTTTAGACCAGTTCTCAGTGCCGCAGCAGAAAAGCAAGCAGGAGCAGAAGAAACTCCATGTAAAATAACCACAATCTCTGTGTTCCAGGGGTGGACTCCTCCCCACCCTAGAGACTAGGAATAGGGCCAAGGTTTCTTCCATGTGAAAGTAATAGGAGGTTACCAGAGGCCTCGTGTGGAGCTCACTATATATTGGAATCCAAACAACAAGCAGAGAACCTTAGCTTTAGTGCGTATGGATGCAGAATGCACCTTAATTTATGGAAACCCAGAGAGACTATCCAAGTGAAACAAACTCCTCTCCTTCCTGGTATTGGGTGGAGTCCCCCTGCTTACTATACTGTCTTTAGCTCACCTATTTCAGAAAATATCTTGGGGATGGATGTCCTGTTAGAATTCATATTACAAACACGTGTGGGGGAATTTTTCCTGTGGGTTCAGGAGGGTAGAGACTATTTTAAGAGGGGAACTTGTACACCTTCCTTCCCCATGACATATCGCTCATGTGAAACAACACTATCTTTCTGGTGGGACAGAAGAAATCCCAGCCACTATACATGAACTGACCAAACTTAATATTATCCAGCCAGCGCAGAGTCTCTTCAGCAGTCCCTTATAGCCAGTAAGAAAACCAGGTGGCATCTGGCACATGACAGTAAACCACCAGGAACTAAATAATATGGTTCCTGAGATACGTGCTTGCTATGGCCAGTATCACCCAAATGATACAGCAAATAAATACAAAATATAGACACTTACCATGCTGTGCTAGATTTAGTTAATTACTTCATTGGCATTGCTTTGCACCCTGATTAATAGGACCAATTTGCTTTTACTCAGAATGGCCAACAGGGGGCATTTCAAGAGTTGTACCAGGGAATCTACACAGCCCCATTCTTTGTCCTGGAATAATTGGTAGAGATTTAATTTTATGTCCACTCCTACTTGCTGTTAAACAGTTTCATTACATTAATGATATTATGCTAACCTCTGAAGACTTGTTATTGCTATAGCAATGCCTTGATGCCTTGTGCATATGCTTCTTCAATCCAGAGGATAGGCCACCAGCCCACAAAAAATACAAGGCCCAGGACCAGCTGCAAAGATCCTAAAGGTTACTAGGCTAAGTAAAATATGTCTTATATCAGGGGTGCAATTTTCCATGTCTAGAACCATTTTAACAGTTACAAAGTTTCTTAGGTCTTTTTGGGATAGTAAGTGGCTTTTTTCCACAGTTAGTGCAATGTTTGAGTCCCCTGAATAAACTAATAAAGAAGGGATTTAGGTGATGCTGGGATAAAGAACAAGAGGAAGCATTTGAGAAGACTAAACTATTAGAGGCTCAGGTACAAGCCTTAAGTTTCACCCTGCCTAAGCACTGATGGGACCAGCTGGGCCAGCATAAGAAAGTCCAGCATGGGAAAGCAGGATTCTAGTTACAACTATGGAAGAGCATTGAAACCTGTTATTCCCCAACTGAACAACAGGTCCTAGGGGTATAGAAGGGCTTGCAGCACGTTGAATTCATAACTGCTGCTTTACAGTAACTGTGAAAACAGGTCTTCCTATCAAGGACTGGAGAGAAGGGTTGTTTGCCAGGCTTGCCTCAATTATTGCCCATGCCTCCACTTTACAAAACTGGCATGCAAACCTGCAACAATGTAGCAGCCTCTCCATCAGTCCCTTGGGAGAGGAACTGCATGCTCTCTTAGTACCAGTACACTATGAGACCAGTGTGGCCACTATTGTGCAGCCCCCAAAGGGCATGCCTCTGAGGATACATGAAGGCACAGCTCTCATTCCTGAAAATACTGGGCACTCGGATGGGTTTTGCTGAGGTAGCCCTTGTGTATAAATGGCAGTAGCGATACAACTGCAGACAGGTACCATATGGTTTGAGATTGGAAGACAGCAAAATAGCAATGGACAGAACTCCAGGATGCATGGTTAGTTTGTATCCATGAGCCATGGCCTATAGTTCTTGAATAGATAGTTGGGCAGTATTCTTGCAACTTGGCTTGCAGAGTGGGCCCCGGATGACTGGAATGTACTAACAAAACCCCCAGTGGGGAGCTGCCATTTGGAAAGACATCTGGGAAAAGCTACAAGGACCAATTGCAAGCCAATTATGTATCATGTTTCACAACACAGGTCAGATTAATCCGATGGTAACATGGAATCTGATACCCTAGCAAGAATGAGAACACTGGCTCCCTCTCAACCATCTGAGCTAGCTGATTAGACACCCAAACACAGTGAGCATCCTAGTGCGCAAGTGGGCTGGCAGATAGCAAAGGGAGTAGCATTGCCCCTGCGCTATCCAGATTTAGCAGCAGCAGTAACAAACTGCTTAGTTTGCTTCTGCCTGCACCCCTGCCTCATTCTACATGCACCAGGACACATACTTAAGACAGCTGTCCGTGTGAGAGACTGATGGATAGACTACATCAGACACCAGCCAGTAAGCTTGGGAAGACACGACCACAGGTTTATTACAGGCTTTGCCTTGTAAAAGGGCAAACCAACAGCCACCATTAAGGACTTGGAACAACTTCACGTCATGTGTGGATATCTTTGATGCATTGATAGCAATCGAGGCACACATTTCACTAGGCATGATGTCCAAGACTGGGCTCATGAAAAGGACATAAATCGGAGATTTCACTTGCCGTGTAATCCCCATGGAGTAGGGTTACTTGGAAGGAAAAATGGTATTTTGAAAGCACAACTGCAAACACTTCTACAATCCAATACCTGCACATGGAAAGGTGAAAGTTTTGCCCCAGGCCATTAGAAACCTTAATTGGGCTGAAACAAATACAGGGCTGGAACCATACCCAATGACTTGAGAACACCACAATGGAAGATCTATTGACATAGTTGTAAAAAAAGGTTCAACCAGATGCATGTTTACTGGAACTGATAAAAGACCACTGAAAAATGTTATTTGGGGATTCCCCAAGACCTTGAGCCAGGAAAGGGGGCTCTTGTATTGGGGTTGGACTAGCAGCTTTCCCAAGGTTACACAGCGTATTTTTTTTTGCCAGAGAGTGAGGAATTCTGTGGCCAACTAAAGTGGTCTCTGTTGATTGTGTTGGAGTCTGGGCCAAGAAGCTCCACATGCTAATACACTGGAACATGGCTCTTTTTAAAGGGCAATTTCGTCGGCCGTTTAACATAGTCTTTTGCTGTCATTGTGACTTGACAGATATTACTAGCACCTTGTTTGTCAGGCAGCATGCTTAGTATACATCCTTAGCCCATAATCCTTGGACTGCCAATGTCCTAACCAACAAATGAAGCTACCACAGTCATTTTGCTTGAGGGAAAAGACTTCCTTGGCAAGTATCGGCTGAAACACTTGTATTTCTGTCCATAGTTTCCTGTTCCTATTGCTGCTCTGCTTTACTCCTCTTGATTTGGATTCTGAGGAACATGACAGAAAAAGACATTATTAATTTTGTGTCTTATACTTGATATAGATACCATTGTCTTTTGTTTGTATTGTTGCTGCAGCCTTTGCTGACAAGTAGGAAACAAATTGATACAATATGTCACTCAAACCATGGAAATGACTGCAGCATCCCTCCCTCTCTAGAGTCTCAGGGACCACTGTGGAAGAGGTGGACATGTGAGATTGTAAGAGCGGGATTAGATGGATGGAGTGTGGAGAAAAAAGTGACTCCATCTCTCCATCTTGGATGCTAATCTGACATGTTGACTTCTGATTAGCCCCAATTTCATGAGTTTTTCCTGGTTTCTACTTTATTCACTGTACCTAGTGTAAGAACAAAGAAATCGTGATGTTATCACACAAATTATGGGCTATGATGCACATAGTATTCTTGACTGTTCTGGAGGGTTGCCTTTCATTGTCTTGCTAGGGCATGTCTACCCTTTCCCTATGGCATGTAAGCCTGGGGTCTGGTGAGTAATATTGTGGAAATCTACCTGTCTTGCAGCCACCTAAAACCATGCTTCTATCTGTAACTTCCCTCAATTTGTCTGGCTTCTTTTTTGTATTATTATTATTATTATTATTATTATTGTTATTCTGGTTTCTTGGCCCCTTTGGCATTTGGGGGTTGCTTTGCATACATCTTTTCATGGAACACTGTTTCAGATTAGAAATTACAACACATGGGCAGAGCACAGAAAAGAGAAATATATATATCAGAGAGTATAAGAATAATAGTATTACATTACTCACTCACCCCTCCCTCAAGCCCATGCAGTGCTGAGAGGGATATCCTCCGTGTATGGGAAGGAGATTTTGGTGAGCCCCGGAATTTTTCCCAGACAGCAGCACCAGTCCCACCCTAGTGAACCCCAAGGCTAGACTGTCCTAGGTAGATGCAGACTCCAAGCCAGAATCTACAGACCTACCTTTCAGGGTTGCCCCAGTAGACCCTGTTACCAAACTGGCCCTTGCAAACCTAGGTTCTGGGCCTGCCCCAGTGACAGGCTGAACCCCATGAACCAAGTCTCCAAGCCCACCATGTTAGATTCTGGCTCTAAGCCTGCTGCAGCAGCACACTTGCCACCATGGCTCCAGGATCCAGGTCCAGCTCTGTGAACACAGGCTTTAGGGTTGCCCCTATTAACATGGGCTCCAAGCTGGTCCCTGTAGATCCAGGCTCTAGGACTGCCCCAGTAGTTTCTTTTCTACCTCCCTATTGAGTTTTTCAATGCAGTCATTGTATTCTTTAGCTTTAGGATTTTTGTAAATATTTTTGTATGGTTTTAATTTCATTGTTGAATTTCTCATTTTGTCTATGTATTGTTTTCCTGATATAGTTTAGTTGTCTGTTTTCTCTTGTAGCACACTGAGCTTCTTAAAGATGATTATTTTGAATTCTTGTCAGCAACTTGTAGATCCCCATTTCTTTAGGGTTGGTTACTGGAGCTTTGATATTCTCCTTTGATCGTGTCATTTTCCCTTCTTAAAGATGATTATTTTGAATTCTTTGTCAGGCAACTTGTAGATCTCCATTTCTTTATGCATGGTTTCTGGAGCTTTGATATTTTCCTTTGATGATGTCATTTTCTCCTGATTCTTTGTGAGCCTTGTATTCTTCTACTGGTGTTCACACATTTGAGAACTCAGTCACCTCCTCTAGTTTTTATAGATTGGCTTTGGCAGGGAAAGGCTGCACCAGCCAGCCAGGCACAGAAATCTGGGAGGGCCAGTTGTATCATCTGTGATTTGGCCAGGCCTCCACACTGAGGCAAAGCCAGCTGGCAGAGACACAGAGCTCTGGGTTTAGATGGCATCTGCTGCTACTCCTCTGCGTTTGCGGAACCAGCAGGGTCACTGTAATTGAGATGGGTGGGTAGATGGTGCTCTGTGTTCCAGCTAATCTGCTAAGAGTGACTCCATGATGGAGTGAAGCTTCTGACAGGGTTCCTTAATTAGGCAGAAAAGCTCAGGGAACTCCACAGTGAAGCAAGGCTTTTGCCAGGCTCTGTAGTTAGGAAGACTAACAGAATGCTGGGCGTGATTAAGTGCTTTCCACTGAAATTCATATGTGCCAGTGGCTGAAAGAACTCTCCTATTACTGTTCCTTACTGTTCCCAGGTGATCTAGACATATCAGTTCCTTCAGTGCTTTGGATGAGTTGAGACAGAAATGGGCCTTTCAGGCTATGCTCTGAGATGTCAAGGAAATTGGACATCCACCTTGGTCTCTCTGTACCTTATGGCAGAAATTACAGGTCAAGAGGATCCTTCTTGGCACTGCACTTTGACAACTTAGAGTAGGGGTGATATGGATAAAGTGGGAGTGTTCATTTGATTCTTTTAAATGTGTTTTTATCCTTTTTTTCCTCCATAGTTGTGTACCAACCTTTCTCCTGGTTTTTAGAATTCCCACACAGGCATCCAAATTCATGGATACTTGCTCAATTACTGTTTCTCTTGGAAGAAACCAAATTTGGGTACCTCCTATTCTGCCATCTTGCTAATGTCTCCCGTTATATTTATTTTATGTTACTTTCTTTTAAATTATACTTTAAGTTCTAAGGTACATGTGCACAACATGCAGGTTTGATACATAGGTATACATGTGTCCTGTTGGTTTGCTGCACCCATCAACTTGCCATTTACATTAGGTATTTCTCCTAATGCTATCCCTCCCCCCGGCCCTCCACTCCCTGACAGGCCCCAGTGTGTGATGTTCCCCTCCCTGTGTCCGCGTGATCTCACTGTTCAATTCCCACCTATGAGTGAGAACATGCAATGTTTGGTTTTCTGTCCTTGTGATTGTTTGCTGAGATGATGGTTTCCAGATTCATCCATGTCCCTGCAAAGGACATGAACTCATCCTTTTAATGGCTGCATAGTATTCCATGGTATATATGTACCACATTTTCTTAATCCAGTCTATCATTGATGGACATTTGGGTTGGTTCCAAGTCTTTGCTATTGTGAATAGTGCCGCAATAAACATACGTGTGCATGTGTCTTTATAGTAGCATGATTTATAATCCTTTGGGTATATACCCAGTAATGGGATTGCTGGGTCAAATGGTATTTCTGTTTCTAGATCCTTGAGGAATCTCTACACTGTCTTCCACAATGGTTGAACTAATTTACACTCCTACCAACAGTGTAAAAATGTTCCTATTTCTCCATATCCTCTCCAGCATCTGTTGTTTCCTGACTTTTTAATGATCGCCATTCTAACTGGCGTGAGATGGTATCTCATTGTGGTTTTGATTTGCATTTCTCTGATGACCAGTAATAATGAGCATTTTTTCATATGTCTATTGGCTGCATAAATGTCTTCTTTTGAGAAGTGTCTGTTCATATCCTTTGCCCACTTTTTGATGGTTTTTTTCCTTGTAAATTTGTTTAAGTTCTTTGTAGATTCTGAATATTAGCCCTTTGTCAGATTGGTAGAGTGCAAAAATTTTCTCCCATCCTGCAGGTTGCCTGTTCACTCTGATGATAGTTTATTTTGCTGTGCAGAAGCTCCTTAGTCTAATTAAATCCCGTTTGTCTACTTTGGCTTTTGTTGCCATTGCTTTTGGTGTTTTAGTCATGAAATCCTTGCCCATGCCTATGTACTGAATGGTATTGACTAGGTTTTCTTCTAGGGATTTTATGGTTTTAGGTCTAACACTTATGTATTTATTGCCTCTTGAATTAATTTTTGTATAAGGTGTAAGGAAGGGATCCAGTTTCAACTTTCTACATATGGCTAGCCAGTTTTCCCAGCACCATTTATAAAATAGGGAATCCTATCCCCATTTCTTGTTTTTGTCAGGTTTGTCAAATATCAGATGGCTGTAGATGTGTGATGTTATTTCTGAGGCCTCCGTTCTGTTCCATTGGTCTATATATCTGTTTTTGTATCAGTTCCATGCTGTTTTGGTTACTGTAGCCTTGTAGTATACTTTGAAGTCAGGTAGTGTGATGCCTCCTGCTTTGTTCTATTTGCTTAGGATTGTCTTGGCAATGCAGGCCCTTTTTTGGTTCCATATGAACTTTAAAGTAGTTTTTTCCAGTTCTGTGAAGAAAATCATTGGTAGTTTGATGGAGATGGCATTGAATCTATAAATTACTTTGGGCAGTATGGCCATTTTCACGATATTGATTCTTTCCATCCATGAGCATGAAATGTTCTTCCATTTGTTTGTGTCCTCTTTGATTTTGTTGAGCAGTGATTTGTAGCTCTCCTTGAAGAGGTCCTTCACATTGCTTGGATTTGTAGGTCTTTTATTCTCTTTGAAGCAATTTGTGAATGGGAGTTCACTCATGATTTGGCTCTCTGTTTGTCTGTTATTCGTGTATAAGAATGCTTGTGATTTTTGCACATTGATTTTGCATCCTGAGACTTTGCTGAAGTTGCCTATCAGCTTAAGGAGATTTTGGACTGAGATGATGGGGTTTTCTAGATATACAATCATGTCATCTGCAAACAGGGACAATTTTACTTCCTGTTTTCCTAGTTGAATACCCTTTATTTCTTTCTCTTGCCTGATTGCCCTGGCCAGAACTTCCAACACTGTGTTGAATAGGAGTGGTGAGAGAGGGCATTCCTGTCTTGTGCCAGTTTTCAAAGGGAATGCTTCCAGTTTTTGCCCATTCAGTATGATATTGGCTGTGGGTTTGTCATAAATAGCTTCTTATTATTTTGAGATACGTTCCATCAATACCTAGTTTATTGAGAGTTTTTAGCATGAAGCACTGTTGAATTTTGTTGAAGGCCTTTTCTGCATCTATTGAGATTATCATGTGGTTTCTGTTGTTGGTTCTGTTTATGTGATGGATTTTGTTTATTGATTTGAGTATGTTGAACCAGCCTTGCATCTCAGGGATAAAGCCGACTTGATTGTGGTGGATATGCTTTTTGATGTGCTGCTGGATTCGTTTTGCCAGTATTTCATTGAGGATTTTCACATCGATGTTCATTAGGGATATTGGTCTAAAATTCTCTTTTTTTTGTTGTGTCTCTGCCAGGCTTTCGTATCAGGATGATGCTGGCCTCATAAAATGAGTTAGGGAGGATTCCCTCTTTTTCTGTTGATTGGAATAGTTTCAGAAGGAATGGTACCAGCTCCTCCTTGTACCTCTGGTAGAACTGGGCTGTGAATCCTTCTGATCCTGGACTTTTTTTGGTTGGTAGGCTATTAATTGTTGCCTCAATTTCAGAGCCTGTTATTGGTCTATTCAGAGATTCAACTTCTTCCTGGTTTAGTCTTGGGAGGGTGTATGTGTCCAGGAATTCATCCATTTCTTCTGGATTTTCTAGTTTGTTTGCGTAGAGGTGTTTATAGTATTCTTTGATGGTAGTTTGTATTTCTGTGGGATCGGTGGCGATATCCCCTTTATCATTTTTATTGCATCTATTTGATTCTTCTCTCTTTTCTTCTTTATTAGTCTTGCTACGGGTCTATCCATTTTGTTGATCTTTTCAAAAAACCAGTTCCTGGATTCATTGATTCTTTGAAGGGTATTTTTGTGTCTCTATCTCCTTCAGTTCTGCTCTGATCTTAGTTATTTCTTGCCTTCTGCTAGCTTTTGAGTGTGTTTGCTTTTGCTTCTCTAGTTTATTAATTGTTATGTTAGGGTGTCAATTTTAAATCCTTCCTGCTTTCTCTTGCGGGCATTTAGTGCTATCAATTTCCCTGTACACACTGCTTTATGTGTTACATTTAATTAACTCCTTGTTACTCCATAATTCTTTCTAATTCCAATGAGATCATTTTTTATTATGATTTAAAATTATTCTTGGTTTAAAAAATTATTTAATTTTGCATACTATATTTTACCTAGTTACCCTTACTAGATTTTTATTATGATATTGTTAACATTTTAAATTATAAAATATCAATATGCCACTAATCACGATTATTAATCTTTTTTCCTCACTATTTATAGTCACATTTATCCTACATTGCAATTAGCTGTAACATTAAGAACAGTGTTGAGAATTAATTGTTTTTAAGCATACTTTAATTTTTTTATTTGAATGTAATTAAAATATTTTTACTATTTTTATTAGCTATAATGTTTTATTTGGTTTGGGGTATATTTATCCAGAAAATATTTAGAATATTTTACATAATTTTATGTAGCATTTTAGTAACAAAAAAGTGTAAAGCATATCTAAATACTTATATATTTTCTACTTTAATTTGTTGCTGAATTTCCCAATTTGACACATTATCTAGCATCTTTAAATAAATTTTACTTGTTTATATTATTATTATTATCATAGTGACATAGTTTCAAACTGTCACCCAGGCTAGAGTGAATACAGGCTCACTACATCCTCAAACTCCTGGGATCAAATGATTCTTCTGCCTCAGCCTCTCGAGTAACTAGGACTACAAGTGCAGGGCATCATATTTAGGTTTTTTTTTTTATTTTTTAGTAAAGACAAGGTGTTGCTATGTTGCCCAGGCTGGTCTTGAACTCCTGGCCCTCAAGCATTCCTCTCCCAAAAGTGGTGGGATTACATTAATGGAACATACTGCCAGAATATTTTGTAAATATTTAGTATAGGATGTAGCCAACTATATTTATACAAGGGTTTGGGTAACTTTATTGGCTTTTTATGTACAAGTTGTTCAGATTTTCTTATCATGTTTATACTAAGTTTATAAAATGAGTTGCTCAATATGTATATTTTACTATGCACTGAAGTATTTGAGTGAGATATGGAATGCATATACTTCACTGTTTAGAGTGTGTTTTTCTATAAATATATCTTGGATTTGTTCCATTAATCTGATTTTATTTAATGCTGGATAGAAGCACAAAATATTAGTATAAACAAGAAGGGTATATAGAGTAAAAAAATACAATCTTTTATGTATCCAGCTCTCAACTAGAGTAATAATATTAACAATAACCAGGAAGTCTTACTTAACTAGGATTCTCCTTTACCTTACCTTTTTTGTTGTTGTTGTTATAGAAGGTAACAAAAATGGATGAGTCCTTTGAATATTTTTTCTATGCCAACTGTCCCTTTGTCATGTTAAGCTCTGTCAGTAAAGAGCACTGGGGAGTCATCACAAGACTAACAGGTCCTTCTTACCAGCTGGCTAAGCAGGTTCCTGCAGGGCAGACAGCCTCTCCAGTGCAAAACTCCTACAGTATACACAGCCAGCAGCAACCAGAAGTCAGAGGCTTCCCCAAGCTCACTACTCAGGTGATTTTATAGCAGAGAACCTATGATGAAGCTCATCCTCATGAATAAGTTTGCCAGGCACCCTTTAGGGTAGATATCTGACAGCTCTACAACAGTGGCACCACCCCTCTCCTCTTCCATTTAGCAGGACATGGTTGTGCCCTGTCCACTAGGTTCGGAATTTCACTTTAGGATGTCGTGTGTGTGCGTTTGTGTGCACATGCACACACATATGTGTGTAGCGGTCTCCTTGCACCCTCAATCTCAGCCTGAGTGATATAAGCTGCTCTTTGTAGCTGCTATTCCTATAACGTTTAGAGTTTTATTTGCTTCTTCCTACCCAATGTTTTCTTTCTTAAACCCTGTTACAGTTAATAATGTTTTATATTTACCTTCACTGTCCAAATTCTGTGTAAATTCTCTTTCCTGATTGGACCCTAACACTATGGATAACTATAATTCATTCAACTTTACAGCCATAGTAGTTCATAATATGACTATTTCATAATGTATTTATTCATTCTCCTGTTGATGAACACTTAGGTTACTATTTTTTTCTATCATAAACAATGCTGCTTGTATACATTTCTGATACAAATGTAAGCATTTTTCTGGAGTATGGAAGTATTCTGGGTTGTAACATATGCATGTTTTCAAAAAGGCAAATTGTTTATCAATATGATATGCACTTCCACTAGTACCATATGAATCTTCTATTGCTTCATATTTTACCGATAGATAGTATTGCCAAATATTTAAAAATTGTCAATTAAATTGCTGCAAAAATGGTATTTCATTGAATTTTTTTTTTTTTTTTTTTTTTTTTTTTTGAGACGGAGTTTCACTCTTTTGCCTAGGCTGGAGTGAAGTGGTAGAATTTTGGCTCACTGCAACCTCCACCCACTGGGTTCAAGCGATTCTGCTACCTCAGCCTCCTTAGCAGCCGGGATTATAGGTGCCTGCCACCACGCGTAGCTAATTTTGTTTTTTTTTTAGTAGAGATGGGGTTTCGCCATGTTGGCCAGGCTGGTCTCAAACTCCTGACCTCAGGTGATCCGCCCACCTTGGCCTCCCAAAGTGCTAGGATTACAAGCGGGAGCCACCGCGCCCAAGCTTCATTGAAATTTTAATTTCAATTTTCATAATAAATGATGGCTATCGTTACTTGTGTTTTTTTTTTCTTATAAACAATCTGTTTTTGCATTTTAGATTTTTTTCCAATTGGTCTATTTGCTTATTATTGAACAAATTATTTTTATATCCTGGAATCAATTCATTTTAAGGTATATATGTAATTAATAACTTTCAATCTGTGTTTTTTACTTTCCTTTTAGTGTATTCTAATTAAGAAAAAGCTTAATTTAAAAATCACTGTATTTATGGTTTAATAATGTTAGAAGGATTTTTATATTGTCTTCTAAATGTTTTATCTTTTGTGTTTTAAGCCACATGGACTTATTTTTTTTTCTATGTGCATTGCTTTTAGTTTTTGGCATAAAATGGGAAAAATATTTTATTTTTTTTCATCTTGACAATAATTTTGCCAGCACCAGATAGATACTGGTATTTTTTAATTTGCCAAAGGGAAATATAATGAAAGCTCTTTCATAAATAAGATTTTTATGGATTTATGGATATACTCCTGGTTTCTCTTCTTTGTTCTCTGATTAAATCTTTTTGTTAACTTACATTAAAAAAATCCTACTGGAATTTTGACTCAAAGTATAATAAATCTATATAAATAAATTATTGTTTTTATAGCATACTGGATATTTTCAAGTAAATTTTATAGCTGTGTACATCTTTTGTAGGTGGAGACTAACAGTTATTCAAACATTTTTTGTTCCCTGGTTTCCCTAGTATCTTTTAAGGATTATTTGTCATGAAGTTGTCCTCTCATAATTTGACTCCACTATTAACATAGACAAGCTTTTTTTTTTTATCTCCCCAAGAGTCTTCTCTTAAAACATAGCTTTAACCAAAATAATATCATGTCTACTTTTTACATGCTTGTCCTTGAGGACTTAAACAACATTCTCTCCATAGGTTAAAATAATGAAAAACATATTGTACCCTATTTGCTCTGACTAACACTGCTAGTAGCAGAAGTGTAACAAAAGATCTCTTGGGGAATTTCAGAAAGTTGAAAAGCAGACATTGACGAGTTTTGTGAGGATGTGTTCTAAAATTCTTTTTACCAAAATTGGCCTGGGATTTCACTTGAGTATTCATTGCAGTCTCAGTGGGATAATTATTCTCTGTATAATTCTCCACTGACTGAGCTGATCTGGTCCTTTGTATACCAGGTGAAAGGTGAATCTTATATTTGGAGAAAACTCATAATTAGAGAATATTAATTAGACAATAAAAATTAGATGCTAAAAATATTAGAAAAATAATTTGGAACTACTTTTAAAAAATAAATTCAACTATTACATAAATTACTTGGAGGAAATGTAATGTCCTGAGAGACCATCTATAAGACAGACTAATATAAAATTTAAATACAGTAGACCTATAAATATAAATAAATGGCAAAAAAAACCCCACCCCTTCTTGTCCTAGGAAAATAAAAATGAAGAATTACAAACCCCTACTGCACCTTTTTGTAAGGCCAATGTAATTCAATATCTATCTCTGATATAGAGAGATATATTCAAATAAATTCAGTAGATTTATTAAAATATTACAGTAATTTTAGCAATATATTGCAATAGCTCATAAGTAAAACTATATGCATTTTCACTTAGGATATGGAGAATTTAAATAGCCTATCAAAAGGTGAATGCTATGTGGAGTGAACTGTTTTCTTTTTAATATTGTTTTCTATTGTTTTTTTAATTTTGTTTAATTAAAATTGACATCTTCATTTAATATGGTTTGGCTGTGTTCCCACCTAAATCTCATCTTGAATTATAGCTCCCATAATTGCCATGTGTCATAGGAGGGACCCGGTAGAAGGTAATTGAATCATGGGGGTGAGTCTTTCCCATGCTATTCTCATGACAGTGAATAAGTCTCACAAGATATGATGGTTTTATAAAGGGGTGTTTCTTCCCATACTGTCTTTTCCTGTAAGACGTGACTTTGCTCCTCTTTCATCTTCCACGATGATTGTGAGGCTCCTCTAGCCATGTGGAACTGTGAGTTAATTAAACCTCTTTCCTTTATAAATTAACCAGTCTTGAATGTGTCTTTATTAGCAGTGTGAGAATGGACTGACACGTCATTTATTTTAAATAGTTATAAAACATGCTCCTTTTCTGCCAAGATATGAAAGAGTTAAATAACACCTTAAAGCCAGTTATAGTAATACAAATTATTATTTTGATCAAAATCTAAATACATTATTTTTCCAATTTAAATATTGATGTACAAGAGCTCTGTTACACAGTGCATCACATTGATTAGAAAAGCAGGTACCTAAGGAGCTCCTGAAGGAAGCACTAAACATGGACATGAACAACCGGTACCAGCCACTGTAAAAACATGCCAAATTGTAAAGACCATCAAGGCTAGGAAGAAACTGCATCAACTAACGAGCAAAATAACCAGCTAACATCATAATGACAGGACCAAATTCACACATAAAAATATTAACCTTAAATGTAAATGGGCTAAATGCTCCAATTAAAAGGCACAGACTGATAAACTGGATACAGAGTCAAGACCCATCAGTGTGCTATATTCAGGAAGCGCATCTCACGTGCAGAGACACACATAGGCTCAAAATAAAGGGATGGAGGAGTATCTACCAAGCAAATGGGAAACAAAACAAAGGCAGGGGTTGCAATCCTAGTCTCTGATAAAACAGACTTTAAACCAACAAAGATCAAAAGACACAAAGAAGGCCGTTACATAATGATAAAGGGATCAATTCAACAAGAAGAGCTAAACATCCTAAATATATATGCACCCAATAAAGGGGCACCCAGATTCATAAAACAAGTCCTTAGTGACCTACAAAGAGACTTAGACACCCACACAATAATAATGGGAGACTTTAACACCCCACTGTCAACATTAGACAGATCAACGAGACAGAAAGTTAACAAGGATATCCAGGAATTGAACTCAGCTCTGCACCAAGCATACCTAATAGACATCTACAGAACTCTCCACCCTAAATCAACAGAATATACATCCTTCTCAGCACCACACCACACTTATTCCAAAATTGACCACTTAGTTGGAAGTAAAGCACTCCTCAGCAAATGTAAAAGAAAAGAAATTATAACAAACTGTCTCTCAGACCACAGTGCAATCAAATTAGAACTCAGGATTAAGAAACTCAGTCAAAACCGCTCAACTACATGGAAACTGAACAACCTACTCCTGAATGACTACTGCGTACATAACGAAATGAAGGCAGAAATAAAGATGTTCTTTGAAACCGATGAGAACAAAGACACAACATACCAGAATCTCTGGGACACATTCAAAGCAGTGTGTAGAGGGAAATGTATAGCACTAAATTCCCCCAAGAGAAAGCGAGAAAGGTCTAAAATTGACACCGTAACATCATAATTAAAAGAACTACAGAAGCAAGAGCAAACACATTCAAAAGCTAGCAGAAGGCAAGAAATAACTAAGATCAGAGCAGAACTGAAGGAAATAGAGACACAAAAAACCCTTCAAAAAATCAATGAATCCAGGAGCTGTTTTTTTCAAAAGATCAACAAAATTGATAGACCACTAGCAAGACTAATAAAGAAGAAAAGAGAGAAGAATCAAATAGACACAACAAAAATGATAAAGGGGATATCACCACCGATCTCACAGAAATACAAACTACCATCAGAGAATACTATAAACACCTCTACGCAAATAAACTAGAAAATCTAGAAGAAATGGATAAATTCCTCAACACATACACCCTCCCAAGACTAAAACAGGAAGAAGTTGAATCTCTGAATAGACCAATAACAGGCTCTGAAATTGAGGCAATAATTAATAGCTTACCAACCAAAAAAAGTCCAGGACCAGATGGATTCACAGCTGAATTCTACCAGAGGTACAAGGAGAAGCTGGTACCATTCCTTCTGAAACTATTCCAATCAATAAAAAAAGAGGGAATCCTCCCTAACTCATTTTACGAGGCCAGCATCATCCTGATACCAAAGCCTGGCAGAGACACAACAAAAAAAGAGAATTTTAGAACAATATCCCTGATGAACATCGATGCAATAATCCTCAATAAAATGCTGGCAAACCGAATCCAGCAGCACATCAAGAAGCTTATCCACCATGATCAAGTGGGCTTCACCCTGGGATGCAGGGCTGGTTCAACATACGCAAATCAATAGACGTAATCCAGCATATAAACAGAACCAAAGACAAAAAACATATGATTGTCTCAATAGATCCAGAAAAGGCCTTTGAAAAAATTCAGCAACACTTCATGCTAAAATATTATCTCAAAATTATCAAAATTATCAAAAATTATCTCAAAATAATCAGAGCTATCTATGACAAACCCACAGCCAATATCATACTGAATGGGCAAAAACTGCAAGCATTCCCTTTGAAAACTGGCACAAGACAGGAATGCCCTCTCTCACCACTCCTATTCAACATAGTGTTGGAAGTGCTGGCCAGGGCAATCAGGTAGGAGAAGGAAATAAAGGGTATTCAATTAGGAAAAGAGGAAGTCAAATTGTCCCTGTTTGCAGATGACATGATTGTGTATCTAGAAAACCCCATCATCTCAGCCCAAACCCCCTTAAGCTGATAGGCAACTTCAGCAAAGTCTCAGGATATAAAATCAATGTGCAAATATCACAAACATTCTTATACACGAATAACAGACAAACAGAGAGCCAAATCTTGAGTGAACTCCCATTCACAAATGCTTCAAAGAGAATAAAATACCTAGGAATCCAACTTACAAGGGACGTGAAGGACCTCTTCAAGGAGAACTACAAACCACTGCTCAATGAAATAAAAGAGGATACAAACAAATGGAAGAACATTCCATGCTCGTAGGTAGGAAGAATCAATATCGTGAAAATGGCCATACTGCCCAAAGTAATTTATAGATTACATGCCATCCCCATCAAGCTACCAATGATTTTCTTCACAGAATTGGAAAAAACTACTTTAAAGTTCATATGGAACCAAAAAAGAGCCCGCATTGCCAAGTCAGTCCTAAGCCAAAAGAACAAAGCTGGAGGCATCATGCTACCTGACTTCAAACTATACTTCAAGCCTGCAGTAACCAAAACAGCATGGTACTGGTACCAAAACAGAGATATAGATCAGTGGAACAGAACAGAGCCCTCAGAAATAATGCTGCATATCTATAAGTATCTGATCTTTGACAAACCTGAATAAAACAAGCAATGGGGAAAGGATTCCCTATTTAATAAATGGTGCTGGGAAAACTGGCTAGCCATATGTAGAAAGCTGAAACTGGATCCCTTCCTTACACCTTATACAAAAATTAATTCAAGACGGATTGAAGACTTAAATGTTAGACGTAAAACCATAAAAACCCTAGAAGAAAACCTAGGTAATACCATTCAGGACATAGGCATGGACAAGGACTTCATGTCTAAAACACCAAAAGCAATGGCAACAAAAGCCAAAATGGACAAATGGGATCTAATTAAACTAAAGAGCTTCTGCACAGCAAAAGAAACTGCCATCAGAGTGAACAGGCAAACTACAAAATGGGAGAAAATTTTCGCAACCTACTCATCTGACAAAGGGCTAATATCCAGAATCTACAATGAACTCAAACGAATCTACAAGAAAAAAACAAACAGCCCCATCAAAAAGTGGGCGAAGGATATGAACAGACACTTCTCAAAAGAAAACATTTATGTAGCCAAAAGACACATGAAAAAATGCTCATCATCACTGGCCGTCAGAGAAATGCAAATCAAAACCACAATGAGATACCATCTCACACCAGTTAGAATGGTGATCATTAAAAAGTCAGGAAACAACAGGTGCTGGAGAGGATGTGGAGAAATAGGAACACTTTTACACTGTTGGTGGGAATGTAAACTAGTTCAACCATTGTGGAGGTCAGTGTGGCGATTCCTCAGGGATCTTGAACTAGAAATACCATTTGACCCAGCAATCCCATTACTGGATATATATCAAAAGGATTATAAATCATGCTGCTATAAAGACACATGCACACGTATGTTTATTGCAGCACTATTCACAATAGCAAAGACTTGGAACCAAGCCAAATGTCCAACAATGATAGACTGGATTAAGAAAATGTGGCATATATACACCATGGAATACTATGCAGCCATAAAAAATGATGAGTTCATGTCCTTTGTAGGGACATGGATGAAGCTGGAAACCATCATTCTCAGCAAACTATCGCAAGGACAAAAAACTAAACACCGCATGTTCTCACTCATAGGTGGGAATTGAACAATGAGAACACATGGACACAGGAAGGGGAACATCACTCACCAGGGCCTGTTGTGGGTTGGGGAGAGGGGGGAGGGACAGCATTAGGAGATATACTAGTGTTAAATGACGAGTTGATGGGTGCAGCACACCAACATGGCACATGTATATGTATGTAACTAACCTGCAAGTTGTGCACATGTACCCTGAAACTTAAAGTATAATAAAAAAAAAAAAAAGAAAAGCGGTACCCAACAAGTAACTTAGGGTTATCTGAAACAGTTCATTAATGAAGAATAGAGCATTTCGTTATTAGTGGAATCAAAGTTATTTTATATCCTGATCCATGCATTTTGGGTGACCCCTCCCTGCCCTGCCACTCTGTAGGATTTTAATGTTCTCTATTATTTTTTTTTCTGATAGTGGAACCTTCATTAAAACATACCCTGGAGATAGGTAATCTTAGTATGTTTTATGTGAACTATTTTAAATCAAGTTGATTTGTATGTCCAGTATAAATTATTCCAGGAATTGAATGTACTATGTCACCTTACAATAAACTTGAAAAAGTGAAGATAGTTGAAGTGCAAAGGGAGAAAAAGCATTGTAAGTAAAAAGCTAATTTGGTTACTCTAATTGCATAGTAGCTGTAAAACATTAAAAAGTATAATTCTAATCAGTTGCAGAGGTAAGTAAAAACCATAGGAACAAAATCAGACATATGTCAGGCTAGGGACTTAGGAAGTTATTACATGATGTTTGTCTTGTGAAAGCATATATTAAATTAGGTAGATAGAAATTAACTGTAATTTTGTTAGAAAATTTCTTTAGAAACTTATTTTAAATTTAATCTACAGTCTCCAAAATGTACTACAAGAGTATTCAAATTAATTTGACTTACATAATACTAAAGCAGAAAATTTTTTACATAAGCTAATATGTAACTCAGCTCATTTTAATTGTTATTAGTATTATAAGGAAAGAAGTAATTTCACTTGGTATTACAGGCCAATTTCGTAATTTTTTAACTTTATCAATAACTTCGAAAGCAGTAGCTATCTTTTTTGTGTGTCAACTTTGATACAAATGAGAGTTAAAATTTTAATAAAATATTTGCAGATTTCATTGGGATGTAATTGAAAGATATAACTATAAAAATCAGAGGCAGTAGGTTCAAGTTCTAGTGTGTTTTTTATATGTGCATATTTATTTTTCTAGGTTTATGTGTTTTGATTTCATTTAGAAAAATTCTGGCATTGAAAATACCTGAAAAAAATCACTTTTTATTTTTTCAGTGCTGAAAACGTGGCCATCGAAAATTTTCTCTATGAAAATACCCTGAAAACTAAATAAAGTTGATTATATTCAATGGAGGAAGTGATCAATGAATCCTTTTTTTTTTCTTTTTTTGAGACAGAGTCTCACTGTTGCCCAGGCTGGAGTGCAGTAGCACAATCTTGGCTCACTGCAACCTCCGCCTCCCAGGCCCACGCAATTCTCCTGTCTCAGCCTCCTGAGTAGCTGGGATTACAGACCCGTGCCACCACACCTGACTAATTTTTGTACTTTTAGTAGAGACAGGGTTTCACCATGTTGGTCAGGCTTGTCTTGAACTCCTGACTTCATGATCTGCCCGCCTCGGCCTCCCAAAGTGCTGGGATTACAGGCGTGAACCACCACGACTGGCCAGTGATCATAATTTCTGTACACATTCCAGAAAACTATAATATCCATATCACTTCCAGGATATCTCTTCTGTGATGTATGATTTGTTATTGCCAGATCAACAATGATTTAGTTGTTTGTTTGGTAAAAATATTTTTCATGGAAAATATTACTAAATTAAAATCTTCTCTCAAATGGGTGTCTACGAAATGTACTATAAAATTTTCATATAAACTGGGCAACAGTGGAGGTTCTTTACCTTTCTGACAAGTAACTAGGAGGTTGGTGAAACTACCTTCTTATTTTTGTACATTAACTCTGCGTTTCCATTTTAGCTTTTAATTTATGTCAGTCCTACAAAAGTCATTACATATTATTCCATTCAACACACTCATCAGTCTAGTCATGAGTGAATTAAGTCACATGTAAAGATTTAATTAAAACTTTATATAAAATTTGGTAAAGTCGTATTCTCTGAGTTGGAGTAAAAAAAAGTAGTTGAAATTTTAGTTTAGCACAACTTAAATATTAGTTAGCCAAAGAAGTTACTGTAACTTCACCTGTTACAGTTACCTTCAATTGAACTTTATAAGTATTTACTTAATTCCGACAAGTGTAGAGACCTGACTATTAAACCATGGTACTTGAATTAGAACTATAGTGAAATGGAGGCAAGAGACTTATAAGCAAATACTTTCGACATAATAATTCAAATGAAGATTTCTAGAGGAGATGACACCCACTCAAATCTTGAAGAGTGACGAATACTAAATTTAATACAATTAAGACTTTTTTATTATTTCTTATTCATATACCTAATATAATATCGTTCAAATATATTAGGTATTTAATAGGTATTACTTTATTAAAGAAGCAATTTGGGCAGAAGGAACAACCAGAGGAAACAGAAGAATATGAAATAGTGTAATATACACAGTTTTACCAGAAACTTAACATTAATAAATGTTTTATTTGAGATCGAAAGTGATGAAAAATATCCCCTATGTGGAAAATCCTGTCCATCATCATTTTAACTGAATGCAGGGTTGAGCTCAAGCCTTGTAGGCTATGGAAGCCGAAACTACTGAAAACTTTGTGAGTAAGCTCAGTTTCCCAATCAAGAGTTATGGCATTCTTAAGAGTACCCAACAATGAAAGAGAAGACATACCCAGAAAGATTTGTACTTTATTAAAAAGAGCTAATCACATAACCAAAGGAATAATCTAAAATATTTTCAGCGATAAAAGTTTTCTGACCATGAAGAAATAATTTATTAGAGATTTTAGAAATAAAAATTTTAAATTATCAATAATAATAAAACTTCTCAAAAGATAGGCTAAGGGGGGAAACTGATGAATAAATTTTGACCAGAAATATTAGAACACATAATTCTTGGAAAATACAAGTAAAAAGAAAGATAAAAAATATATAAAATAAAAGCTTAATGCCATAGATGAGATTAAGATATTGTTTAAGGATAATTGTATGTGGTGGTGTAATTGTTGAAAATAATGTATGAAATAAATAAAAATATCATTAAATAGAATATTTTACAATTTTGTGAATTATAAAATGTTCAAATGCTGACGCAAAATCTTGACTGCAGTACATTACTATGATGGTTAATTTTGTGTGTCAACTTGGAGAGGGTTTGGGGTGAGACTAACATTTAAATTGATGGATGGACTTAGAGTAAGCAAATTGTCCTATATAGTGTGGGTAGGCCTCTTCCAGTCAAATGAAGGTCTCCCTAAAGCAAAAAGACTGACCTCTCCAGCAAGAGGGAATTCTCCAGCAGATGGCCTTTGCAGTTCATGCGCACCATTGACTCTCCTGCATCTCAAGCCTGCTGGCCCATACTACATATTCAAATTTGCTAGTCTTCATAATCACCTGAGCCAATATCTTATAATAAGCCTTGTCCTATACATGTGCATAACCTATTGCTTCTGTGTCTCTGGAGAACTCTGCCTAATATAATTGCTTAGATCTAAAGTAAATAAATGAATCTAACTTATATCTGAAGAATATAATGTGGATGGAAAGCACTTATTTTAGCTACACTAAAGAGTAAAATTATGTATTGGCTCTGACACTATAATTTTGAATTGCTACTGTTTATTTGCATTCTGAGCTCAAAATATTATTTACTTTGAAATACAATATAAAACTGTCTAAGGTCTAGAATAAATTATTGTAATTATATAATATCATTTAACTACATAAAGGATGAAAAATAATGTTAAGAAAAATAAAAGTTGGATACAGATCATATATATAAAATTTAGACAAAGGTAAAAAATATGCTGCAAAATTTAATTAGAAGAATTTAATTAGAAAATTAAAATATATAACTATTCTTTCAGTCAATACTATGACTAATATTTTAAGATGTAAGCCAAATTTGCAGTGACATAAGTATCATTATTAGTACAAAATCTTCCACTTTCAAGAAAAGAAAGTTAAAGTAAAGAATTGTTATTTGTGAACAAAAAGTTGTTACATATTGCTAAGGATCAACATGACAACTAGAAAAATCAAGGGGAATATACTAATTATCTTGATAATCTTAACTGTGCTAACAAGCAAAATTAAGATAAAGATAAAAATTCTATTTCTCCACCAAATTCTTTAGAAAGACACAAACATCAAAAGAATTTCATCTTCAAAACATATTTCACTTGCCAGGGAGCTTTGTCTAAGTACTGTTAGTATAATTTCTTGTGTTTTAAATATGAGAGAGAGAGAGAGAGAGAGAGATTTTTCTGTTTTTAACTTAATCTCAATTTTATATCATATAACCATATTTATTTTAGAAAACTCAAACATTACAGAAGGAAATATTGGCACCTTTGACAACCACCTCCATTATTATTCACCTTTTATTCTCTTGTTTCTGGCATTCATTGTTTTTGTTGAGAGACCTAACTGGATCTAATTATGTCTCTCCTGGGTGTTCTTTCTCTTCTTCCTGGCTACTTTTAACATTTTCTTGTTGCTTTTCATATTTGCAGTTTCACTAAAATGATTCAGGCATGGATTTTTTTAAATGTATTCTGCTTTATATGTTTTATAATTCATATAGTTGAGAATGCATGTCATATCAGCTTTTGTTAAAAATCAATTAATATCTTTTTTCTCATTTGTGATCTTTTATTCTTTATCTTTTCTTTCTGGAATACCAAAGACAGAGATAACTCTTTCCAGAATAAAACTAGTAACTCTTCTTAGATATGTCAGAGAATTGAGGTCATGGGACAAACCACTATACCCAAAATTTGAGATTATTACAGATAATCACAATTTATGGAAACAAAAGCCTAGAAGCAGAAGCTACCTCTGGAGCCTGTACAGGGATGGGAAAACTTAAACTATAATTTATGAATTGCTAGAGACTCCGTGTGGATCAGTTTAGCAAAAGTTAAAAATCTCCAGAGGGACCCCCCCCCCCGCCCCACTACTATGAAAATCAACAACTTTGGGAACTTTACCTCCAAGAATCCTACTAGACTCTCACAGTGAAGTAGCCTTTTCAATATACACTCAGAGCAATCTGTTCTCCTCATCAAGATCTTTTCTCAAGGGAAACTATTTTAGCAAAATATAAACAACTATAGTTTTACCACAGCCTCCCTAGTCCTCAGAAAGGGAAGTATTCAATGCTAGCATGTTCTAGCATGGTGTAAGGGAAGTGCCCAATGAAGATTAGAAGATTAGTCTCCTCTAATCTTCTATTTGGGCAAAGAGAAATTTTCAACTCCTGTCTTTCTTAGTCTTACCTATAGAGTGAAAAATAAGAACACTTATGAAGTTAACATGCAAGGAGCACTGGCTCATCAAAAAACTGGGAACTCAACATAAGCTACAGAAATTTTTCACTCTCCACATTTTACCACAACCTTAATGGAGCCCCTGTATAATAAGGGATTACAACTGAAAAAGATGTTTATCTCAAATCTTATTTAAGAAAGAATCTTTAGGGACATCCAAAGACAATATGGGAAAATAAATCAACTTACTAGAGAAAACTTTAATCTATGAGACCTATAGTTACAGTAAACGTTAACAGTCTATTAGACAGATAAACATAAAACCTCATACTATACTTAGGTTTAAATATAATAAAATATCTATAAAAGCTATATGAGGAAAACTACAAGTCTGATGAAAGAAATTAAAGATCTAAGTCAATGGAAAGATATTTCATATGCATGTATATGAAGCAAGTGATTTTGTGAATATCAACAGACTTCAAAGTTAATATGAGAAGGCTAATGATGCAAAATAGCTAACACAATATTGAAGGGGAACAAATTAGAGGACTGACACAATCTGGCTCCTAAAATTAATGTAATAATTTTATAAGATTTGGTTTACAATAACCAAGAAAGTGTGGTTTTGGCAGAAGAAGAGAAAACTAGATCAATGATATATAATAGAGAGCAAAAAATATAGTGAACTGATCTTTAAAAAGGGAGGAAAGGGAATTCAGCGCTGCCCTTTCAACAGAAACAATTGCATCCAAATGAAACAAATTTAGACATAGGCCTTAACCTTTCACAAAAATTAACTCAAAATGGATCATAGAGCTAATGTAAAATACAATATTATAAGCCTCCTAGAAGATAATATAGAAGAATACCTGGTGTTATTGCAGTTAGCAACTGATATTTAGATACAACAACAAAACATGATGCCAGAAAACAACTACAAGTTAGACTCCATTAAAATATATATATTTTTTTCTCTGTGAAAGACACTGGTAAGAGAATGAAAAGACAAACCATAGATTGGATA
This sequence comes from Homo sapiens, assembly GCF_000001405.40. Classification (NCBI taxonomy): domain Eukaryota; kingdom Metazoa; phylum Chordata; class Mammalia; order Primates; family Hominidae; genus Homo; species Homo sapiens. The sequence continues at coordinate 79,352 of NW_009646204.1, read as the reverse complement.
AATCTATTCAAAGCACATATTTATTAAAGGACTGGTATCCAAAATATACACAAATTCTTAACATAAAATAAAAAACTCATTTAAAATTGTGAAAAATATCTCTAAAGAAGATATATAGATGACAAATAAGCATATGGAAAGATGTTCTGCATTATATGTCATTAAAGCCTCGCAAATTTTAAAAATGAGGTACTACTACACATCTTCTACAATGGCTAAAATCTAAAACACTGACAGTGTCAAATGCTTTTGAGAATGCAGAGCAACAGAAAATGTCACTTATTGCTAGTGGCAATGCAAATGGTACAGCCACTTTGGAAGACAATTGGTAGTTACTTAGAAACTAAAGGATTCCCTGTTTAATAAATGGTGCTGGGAAAACTGGCTAGCCACATGTAGAAAGCTGAAACTGGATCCCTTCCTTACACCTTATACAAAAATTAATTCAAGATGGATTAAAGATTTAAATGTTAGACCTAAAACCATAAAAATCCTAGAAGAAAACCTAGGCAATACCATTCAGGACATAGGCATGGGCAAGGACTTCATGTCTAAAACACCAAAAGCAATGGCAACAAAAGCCAAAATTGACAAATGGGATCTAATTAAACTAAAGAGCTTCTGCACAGCAAAAGAAACTACCATCAGAGTGAACAGGCAACCTACAGAATGGGAGAAAATTTTTGCAACCTACTCATCTGACAAAGGGCTAATATCTAGAATCTGCAATGAACTCAAAGAAAAAAACAAACAACCCCATCAACAAGTGGGCGAAGGATATGAACAGACACTTCTCAAAAGAAGACATTTATGCAGCCAAAAAACACATGAAAAAATGCTCACCATCACTGGCCATCAGAGAAATGCAAATCAAAACCACAGTGAGATACCATCTCACACCAGTTAGAATGGTGCTCATTAAAAAGTCAGGAAACAACAGGTGCTGGAGAGGATGTGGAGAAATAGGAACACTATTACACTGTTGGTGGGACTGTAAACCAGTTCAACCATTGTGGAAGTTAGTGTGGCGATTCCTTAGGGGTCTTGAACTAGAAATACCATTTGACCCAGCCATCCCATTACTGGGTATATACCCAAAGGATTATAAATCATGCTGCTATAAAGACACATGCACACGTATGTTTATAGCGGCACTATTCACAATAGCAAAGACTTGGAACCAACCTAAATGTCCAACAACGATAGACTGGATTAAGAAAATGTGGCACACATGCACCATGGAATACTACGCAGCCATAAAAAATGATGAGTTCATGTCCTTTGTAGGGACATGGATGAAACTGGAAACCATCATTCTCAGCAAACTATCGCAAGGACAAAAAACCAAACACCGCATGTTCTCACTCATAGGTGGGAATTGAACAATGAGAACACATGGACATAGGAAGGGGAACATCACACACCAGGGCCTGCTGGGGGGTGGGGGGACAGGGGAGGGATAGCATTAGGAGATATACCTAATGCTAAATGACGAGTTAAATGGTGCAGCACACCAACATGGCACATGTATACATATGTAACGAACCTGCACGTTGTGCACATGTACCCTAAAACATAAAGTATAATAAAAAAAAAAAGAGAGAGAAAAGAAAAGGAAAGACTAAATAAACACCTCTTGGGCTGTAATTTAAATAAGAATAATATCATGTCCTCTATTTTTGTCCCTGACTAAAACAGAAAAGTTTAGTTATGTCTTAGTTTACTACATTCTATTTCCCTGGTGTTATTTTTAAAATGTGTGGAAGTCTCTACATGTGGAATATGTGGAAGAACTACAAAAAGTTTTTAAAAATAATTGGGTGAATAAAGACTGTATTAGACAACAAGGAAATTTTCAATAATCTCTTTCCATTTGGTTAGGAAACTTCTATCTTCCCCTGGAGTCTACCTAACATTCATTCTTTTTCTTAAATATCTAATGCTAATGAATTCATGGTGACTTCTCATCTATCATTTTTCCTAGCATTTAAGTCTATGATTTTTATTTGAGAAAATGATATTTTTAAAAATTTGGGTGATGGTTCATGCTTCTAATGAAGAAAAATTATATCTAACTGAAAATGTACCAATAATTGAAGCATTAGTCTGTTCAAAGACAGTGGAAGAATTAATCTGAATGCAAGTAAAATACCATGATTTGTACTTTATTGTCTAAACAATAGAGTAGAAAATATGCACTCTATTTTTCCTAAACACTCCTATTTTTAGGAAATTAAATATTTTGCTGTTTATTTACAACTATTGTTTTCTATCTTCTTTTGAAGATAAATCCCTCCTACAAGAAAGAGATAGAAAAAGGTTTTCTTACATCATCACTAACGTGTTAGTAAGATGGTAAGAACTGTGATTATCTGCCTTTTGAGATACTTTTTTTTTTTTTTTTTTTTTTTGCTGGGGAGATGGAGGATGAAAGATGAGGAACCAGGAGTTTTGTTTGTTTGTTTCTTTTCTTTTTTTTCTTTTCAGTGTTTCCATGGAAGGCTTTGAAGCTGAATAGGGAAAATTGTTATTTACATCTCTCGCAACATCTGAAAGTCAGGGGTTTTGTTCTGGTCCAAGGAATATCAGTTACACATTCTATGTACTTTCTACAGCATTTTGTCCCAGTTCCCAGAAAAGCCTGAATTAATATATGTTCCTGAGATTTTACATTTTTACTTTAAAGAGTTTGTTTTGGCAACATAGTAATTACTGTGTTTTTCCACATTTTATTTATACCCTTTTTAGAATTATTATTTTTTACCTAATATTGTACATACCTAAAAATGTTCTTTTATCTAACAGGTAATTGTTTAGTCAGAAAGTTATGTGTATATAGGATTAAAAAATCATAAGGAACATAGAAGAGCTTTTAATGAAAATTATAGGCCTCTTCATCTTCATTACTACTTCTCAAAAGCAAAAACATCTTGCTATTTTTATTTTTGAGTCCTTTTGATATTGTTTTCAATTTTTATGTCCATATTTTGAGTTTAAATAATATGCTTAAACTATTTGATGACGAGTTCTGGTTTCATGTTCTGATAGGGGAGGGTTAAAATAATCTGATAGATGAAGGTTAACATCACTCAACTCTTCCATTCTCTTGTATATAACCATTTTGAAAGCCTCTATTACATCCATAAATTAAGTAGAACTTAACAGCCAGTGTGCCATGAATGGTGTGTAGGCTTTCTGCCAGGTCAGGCCTTGGGTAGCCAGGGTTCACAGAGAGAGTGCCTCCAGCAGTGAATAGCAGCCTCATCCATTAATCCAGTGTTAATGGAATAGATACATTTTTTTATTTTGTAATGTAAAGATGTTTCAAAATACTGCCCTAAATATGGTCCTTAATCAAACACATCGTCTTTTGACTTCCCACTTTATCTTCTCAACTCCTGTCACCTCTGGTTTTACTTTAATGTCGTCAAGGTTGATAATACTTACAAGCGTTTCATAAATATAAGAAAACATGCACTTTTAAAAAATTGAGTCTACAAGTCCAAAATCATTAAATAGTGTTTACATCACTCATAGTATTTCACAGATTTTTTTTTCTGTAGAGGGAAGTATTCTATCAATTTATCATACATCAGGTACAGCCCAGTCTCCTCAACTTAGGTTTTACTTACTGCCTTCCTTTTCATATTGCGTTGTCTGGTATTATGTACTTAATTTTTTCCAGCATATTATATGTATTTATAGTCTCTGGGTATAAATATTTCTAGATATGTCACACCTAAAGACAAGTCCCTTCAACATACAGATTTCCTTTCTTCTGGTTATATACCCAGTAATGAGATTACTGGATCATATGGTAGCTCCATTTTTAGTTTTTTCAGGAAACTCCATATTGTTTTCCATAATGTTTATAAGAATTTCCCTTTCTCTGCATCCTTGCCAGCATTTGTTACTTTTTGTCTTTTTGATACTTATCATTCTGATTGGGGTGAGGTGCAATCTCATCGTGGTTTTGATTTGCATTATCCTGATGATTAATAATTAGCATTTTTAATATACCTGTTGGTCATTTGTATGTCTTTGTTAGATAATGCCTATTCTGATGATTTGTCATTTAAAAAAAATCACGTTATTTGTTTTTTGCTGTTGAGTTGCTTGAGTTCCTTTTATATTCTGGTTTCTAATCTCTTACCAAATGGATAGTTTGCAAACAATTCCTCCCATTGTGTAGAGTGTCTCTTCACTTTGTTGATTATTTCCTCTATGGTCCAGAAGCTTTTTAGTTTAATATAATTCTCTTTGTCTATTCTTGCTTCAGTTACTTGTGCTTCTACTTGACCAGTTACCTGGCCAAAAAAAATTTTGCCCAGGCCAATGACCTGAAACACTTCTCTAATGGATTCTTTTAGTGGTTTCATAGTTTCAGGTTTTAAATGTCTTTAATCAACTTTGAGCTGATTTTTGTATATGATAAGAGACAGGAGTCTAGTTTTATTGTTCTACATATTAATATCTAGTTTTCCCAGCAAGGTTTATAAAAAAAACTGTACTTTCCCCAATGTGTGCTCTTGGTACCTTTGTTAAAAATGAGTTGGCTCTCAATATGTGGAGTTATTTTTGTGTTCCCTATTCTGTTCCATTGATCTGTGTATCTGTTTTTATTCCAGAACCATGCTATTATAGTATGGCTACTATGGCTTTGTTCTGTATTTTGAAGTCAGATAGTGTAATGCCTCCAATTCTGTTCTTTTTGCTCAGGATTGCTTTGGTATTCAAGATCTTCTGTGATAACATACAAATTTGAGGATTTTTTTTATATTTCTGTGAAGAATGCTATTAGTATTTTGACAGGAATTGCAGTGCACATGTAAATTGCTTTGGACATTGTGACATTTTACAGTACTAATTATTCCAATTCATAAACATGGGTTATCTTTCCTTTTTCATTCCTCTTCAGTTGTTTTTATCAGTATTTTTATAATTTTCATTGTAGCGATCTTTCACCTCCTCGGATATATTTATAGGTATTTTATTTTTTGTAGCTATTGTAAATGGGATTGCTGCCTTGATTTACATTTAAGATTGTTTGCTGTTGGCATATAGAAATGCTATTAGTTTTTTTATGTTGACTAAATTTATTTATCAGTTCTACTATTTTTTGGTTTATACAGAAAACTTTAAGTTTTCTGTATAAGATCATATTTTCTATAAGCAAGGGCAGTTTGACTTCTTATTTTACAATTTAGATGGCCTTTATTTCTGTCTTTTGCTTAATTTCTCTGGCTAGCACTTTCAGGTTTATGTTGAATAAAAATGGTAAAAGTGGTAAAATCCTTATCTTATTCCCAATCCTAGAGGGGAGGCTTTCAATATTTCCATGTTCCATATTACATTAGCTGTGGGTTTGTGATATATATGACCTTTATTTTTTAAAAAGTATATTCCTTATAAAACCATTTTGTTGATAGTTTTTATCATGAAGGGATGTTTAATTTTATCAATGACTTTTAAATTATTACTGAAAATAATTCTATGGTTTTGTCCTCGATTCCATTAATGTAATGTATCATGGTTATTAATGTGTGTATTTTGAACCATCCTTGCATCCCTGCATTCCTGGAATGAGTATCACTTGGTCATGGTGAGTGATCTCTTCTTTTGGCATGTATCTTTCTTTTGTTGTTGTTGTTGTTCTTTTGTATGATTTGGCTGTCAGAATAATACTGGTCTCATAGAGTGAGTTGGAGGCATTTTCTCCTCTTCAATTTTTTGAAATAGTTTGAGTAGAAATGGTACTAGTTCTTTAAATGTTTGGCAGAATTCAGCAATAAAGCCATCAGGTTCTCAACTTTTTTTTTTTTAATCGGAGACCATTTAATAACTGCTATGATCTTTTAACTCAATATTGTTCTGTTCAGGTTTTCTATTTATTCATGGTTGAATCTTGATAGAAATCAAATTTTGGGTTTTTTGAGGCTTGTTTTATGACCTAACATATAGTCTATCCAGGAGAATGTTCTATGTGCTGATGAAAATAATGTGCATTTTGCAGCAGTTGGGTGAAATGTTCTGTAAATGTCAGTTAGGTCTGTTTGATCCAGAATGTAGTTTAACTCTGATGTTTCTTGATGGATTTGCTACCTAAATGATCTGTCCATTGCTGAAAGTGGGACATTGAAGTTGCTTACTATGACAGTATTGTAGTTTATCTCTCTCTTTAGACTCATTAAAATGTGCTACATATATTTGGGTGTTCCAGTGTTGAGTGAATATATATTTGTAATTGGTGTATTCTTTTGCTGAACTGACCTCTTTATCATAATAACTTAATTTGTTTTTCTTAAGTTTTTGAGTTGAAATCTGTTTTATCTGATATCAGTAGAGCTATTCTTGCTCTTTTTTGTTTACATTGTGTGGAATTTCTTTCTTCATCCCTACACTGTAAGTCTATGTGTGTTATTATAGATAAAGTGAGTTTCTGTTAGATAGCCTACCATGTTCTTTAAAACAGACTTCATACGTGTAAAACATAAGGATTCAGAAGGCTGAAAGTAACAAAAGAAATAATACGTATTATGCAAACACCAATACATTGTGTCAAAGTGAAAGAAAATAAAGTTTATATTAAAAGGCTTTACTAGAATTGAGCAGGGATATTTCCTAATAATTTACTTTTAATTGACTGATAAAAACATCTAGAATTATAGTGAGAAAGTTCAACATAACTTTATCAGTAATTGATTGATCCAGCAAACAAAAAATCAGTAAGCGTATGGAAGATTTGAAAAAAAAAATTAGCAAACCTGAGATAATTTTCATATTTAGAATATTAGCAGCCAAACTATAGAGTTTATTAGTATAAACTATTTTAAAATAACTTATCTTCATACATAAGTCAAATATCAATGAATTTCAAAACCATATATTACGCATTGTATCATTTCTGACCACAGTAAAATGCAACTAGAAATAAGTTTAAAAAAAAAACTTAAAAAAGCCCATATGTCATTGGCAATTATGAGATACTTTGCCATATAAGCCATTGATTAAAAAATACAAGTAATAATGATAGTTATTTTGAACTGAATGATTAAAAAAAAACCTTGTGGGATATGGCTAAAATAGGGCTTAAAAGGGAATATATAACGTAAAATGTAAAAATTAGAAAAAAATGTATATTAATGACAAGTCTCAAGAAGTTAGAGAATATGACGTTACTCCAGAAATATAAGGGAATGAAAAATTAAAATACAAACAAATATACAAAGTGAAGAGCAAATATGCTTCCTGGGGAAAGAATCTACTACTGAGTCATAGATATTTTCCTTAATGCTGGTAAAGCAGAGCTTTGTTCATAGATAATGCACAATGAGATCTTGCTACGTGCATGAAACAAGTGGCCTTGTTGGTGTCTTTTCAACTTCTAGGCACATTATATATAATCCTTTAGAGTTAAACACTGGATTTAATTCCTGCCATGCTAATAATTATCAACTCTTTTTGGTTTTGTGAAAATTATGATTTTTATTTCTTAGTTTTCTCATTAAATAAAGAGACAATATCTACTTCATATAGTTATCTTAGGGGTATGCCATGTGCTTAGCACAATACCTACAGTCCAATGAGCTCTTAAAATACATTATTTTTATTTGTGTATTTATGTAATTTAAAACACTTTCATGGAATTTGAGAAGTCTGTGATTTGACTGTGTCTATTTTGGGGTAACACAAAGAGAAACTCTATGAAACTCTATGAAGCAACTTGTTATCTTCCAAATATGACAGGCTTTTAAATACCTAAGATTTTGCTGGTGCTGCTCTTTTTTCCTTAAATGTTTTTAATACAATTGACTGTCATCTGCTGCTACAGTATTAAGGCTCAAAAACTATCTCTTGTGTGAACTATTTCTGACTAGTTTTTCTAGTTTTATAAGTAAGTTTTCAGTGTACATCTAATGAATGTAAAACTGATGAAATTCTGATGAAGAAAATATGTAATAATAAACACAATCACTAAAACATTACCATTGGCTATTCTCTTTATATAATTGTATGTTCTTATGTGTCATATACTTTCTGCCTTTCAAAATTCAAATAAACATCTTGTTTAGCTATTGTTAAATATTAAGTTGACATCTTTATTGAGCTGTTCACAATGACACCAGCATTTCTTAGAAATTAAAACAAATTCACAACCCATCAATGTCTGGCAGAAGTTTAATTTGTTTCTTTGGCATTTATTGACTCAATCTTTTCTAGGTTGAATTATATCTTCTGTTGGAATTCTCACTAGGAAGCAACTAAATACACAGTCATATTCAGAATATAAAACTGTTTCTTTAATTCATTCTCACATCTTGCAAATACATGTGATATTGAGGACTGTGCCTAATAACCACTTTATCATGAATGTGTTGTCATATTTAATATTTACTATACAGTCTGTTAAGCGGCGGTGGTCCCCAACCTTTTTGGCACCAGGGATCAATTTCGTGGAAGACAGTTTTTCCATATGTGGGGCAGTGGTGGTGGAGGCTGCTGGGGATGATGGTTTCAGGATGAAACTGTTCCATCTCAGATTATTAGGCATTAGTTAGATTCTCAGAGAGCACCACCTACATCCCTCACATGCAGAGTTCACAATAGGGTACTTGCTCCTATGAGATTCTGAGGCCAAGTTGATCTGACAGGAGGCAGAGCTCAGGTGGTAATGCTCACTCACCCACCACTCACCTCCTGCTGTGCGACCTGGTTGCTAACAGGCCACAGACTGATACTGGTGTGTGGCTCAAGGGTTGGGGACCCCTGCTGTAAAGGATAACCAGATTATTTAAGCAATTGAGAAACAACTCATTAAAAAGTTGATTGATGTTTTTATCTAATCAAAATAAAATGTCATAATAATCATATTATGTGACTATTATGACATTGAGAAAATATCAATGACATCTCATGAATGTACATGTTAAAATCCCTTTGCTTTATCATTGAAACAATATTTAATTCAATAAAAATGAGAGAAAAGTATTTTTAATTTTTAAGCTTTTAATAGTGAATTAAAATTTAGAGCTTTCATTAGTGCCAAAATGTTAATATGGATTTTATTTCCCTTTACTTTTCAACAGAAAATTTTTAATCATCTATTTTACTAAATAGAAGATTAAATAACTCCCACTTCATCAACTATTTGAAGGGAGTTAGGGAGAAAATGGGAGTAGCCAGCTTCTCACAGTAATGGCTATTTGACAGGGTTTCTTTCTCTTGCCTCTCATTGGGAAGATTTTCATAAATCAAATTTGCATCTTAAATGTTTTAATTGTATTGCATTTTTGCAGAAAAAATTACTTGATCAAGCAGGTTAAAGTACTCAATTTCTATAAGTGAATCTCTATTATTGTGCATACATTTCTTCTGTCTCCACAGGCTTATGTTAGCATAGTCCTTGAGGTATTTTCTTAAACAAATTACAAACTTTTTATAGACAGGAGGCATATTATAATACATTTAAAAAATATTAATAGAACAATTTTCAGAGTATTTTTAGAGTTACAGAAAAGTTGAGCAGATGATACAAATAGTTCTGATATACATCTTCCCTGTTTAAAGTTTCCCCCATTACTAACATCTCAAATTAGTGTGGTACATTTTTCACATGTGTGAGCTAACATTGGTACATTGCCAATAACAAGTCTATTGCTTACATTAGGGTTGACTTTTTGTGTTATTCAGTTCTGTGGGTTTTGCAAATGCATAATGTCCTGCATCCATCACTACAGTATCATAGAGAATAGTTTCACCTCTGTAAAATTCCCTGTGCTTCACCTATTTATCCTTTCCTCTACTTCCCACTTCCTCAAACACCTGCCAACAACTGATCATTTCAATTTTTTTATAGTTTTGCATTTTCATATTGGCCAATTTATTTTAGAAACAAGCCTATGTATATGATCATTTCTCCTAGTATGATTTTCAGTGGAGTACGGCTTTTAAGACATCGGTCCATTTTATGTAAGTTATCTAATTTTTAAGAATACATTTTTTCATAATAGTCTCTTATCACACTTTTAATGCTCATAGAATCAGTACTGATAGCCTCACTTTATTTTACTATATTAAGAATATGTTTTTGTCTCTTGTTTTCTTGCTTAGCTAGACTAGAGGTTAATTTTCTTGATCTCTTCAAAAACCTAGCTTTGTAAATGGATTATTCACCAATCAAAAAACTTAGAGTGGCTGATGGAGTAAATACACACAGAGAAATAAACAAAACAAAATAAAGCAAAAAACAAACAAAAACCAATAAGAACTAGTAATTTGCTGCCTACAAACGAAGTACTTAAAATTTAAGCACATATAAACTGAAAGTAAAGATACGGAGAAAGATATTTTATTTAAATGGTACCCAAAAGAAAGCAGAGTTGGGTAAACTTATATCAAACAAAATAGACTTTGAGTTAAAAAAAATCTACATTTAGAAATGAAGTCATTATATAATAACAAAAATGTCAGTTCATGAGGAAGATATAACAAATAGAAAGACATAAACACTCTAAAATAGACACAGAAAGTGTATAGAACATCTATATAGAAAATTAGTGTGGAAACTGGGTTTTAGCAACGCGGTAGATAAAATGACCCTAACAGAAATATTTAGAAATTCTCAACCATGAGTAGAAGAATAGATTTCTTCTCAAATGTGCACATAACATTCTCTAGGGTAGATCACATGTTGGATCATGAAACAAATCTTAACAAATAATTTTAAAAGATTACAATTATTTCAAGTATCTTTTCAAATCTTAATGAATGAAATGACAAATCAATAACAGCTAGAAAATGGAACAATTCACCAGTACATGGAAACTGAATAATACTTTCCTAAATAAACACTGGGTCAAAGAGGAAATCAAGAGGAAATTTTAAAAATATTTAGAGAAAAATAAAAACTAAGATACAACATATCAATATTTAAATGACATATTAGTAGCAACATTAAGAGGAAATTTTATGGCAATAAATACCTTCGTTTAAATTAAAAAATCTCAAACTGAATTTACACTTCAAGAAGTTAGAAAAAGAACAAACTAAGCCCAGAGGTACCAGACAGAAGAAAATAATAAATATTAGGACAGAAATAAATCAAATAGAGTATAGAGAAACAATGAAAAAAATCAACAAAACTGAGTTGAATTTTTTTTGAAAAAAAAAAACCAGAATTGACAAATCCTAAACTAGACTAAGAAAATAGAGGACTCAAATAACAAAATAAGAAATAAATAAGAAGACATTATGACAATGCCTCAGATATAAAAAAAATCATAAGAAACTTTTATGAACAACTATACACTAACAAATTGGATAACCCAGAAGAAATGAATAAATTCTTAGAACTATATAACCTATAAATAACAAATAAGGGTATTGTATTAGTAATCAAAAAGTTCCCAAAAATTAAAGCCTAAGATCAGTTAGCTTTATCTGGTGAGTTTTACCAAACATTAAAAAGGAATTAATACCAATCATTACTCAATTCTTCCAAAACAGAAAAGAAGGGAGAGCGTTTCCAAACCCATTTGATGTGACCAGCACCACTCTGTTTCTAAAGCTGGAAAAATACATCACCAGAAAAGCAACTACAGAATAATGCCTCTGGTAAACAATGATGCAAAATTACTCAATAAAATACTAGAATACTGAATTCAACACACATAAAAAAAGAATATACACCCTGGTCAAGTGGGATTTATAAGTGAGATATAAAGTTGGTTCAACACATGTAAATCAGTAAAGGTGATATACCACATTAACAAAATGAAAAATTGAAAAACATATTTTCTTCTTAATAGATGCAGAAAAATCCTGAACAAATTTAACATTCACTAGTGATAAAAACTCTCAACAAAATAGATATAGAAGAAAATTACCTCAGGAGAGTAAAGGCCATTTATAAAAAGCTCACAGACAACATCATAATCAATGATGAAAAACTGAAAGCTTTTCCTACAAGATCCAGTCAGTACAAAGTATATATTAATTCTTCCAATTCATGAGCATGGGATATTGTATATTATATATACATATATGTAATATATTATCAATATTATATATATATATATATCCCAAAGTGATCTAAAGATTCAACATAATAACTAACAAAATTCTAATGATGTTTTCCACAGAAAAAGGAAAAAACAATCCTGAAATTTATATGAAACAACAAGACTCCAAATAGCTTTGGCTATTGGAGAAGGAAGAACAAAGCTGGAGACATCACACTTTCTGATTTCAAATTATATGATTTTATTACATGTTTCTATTGATTTTCTGATTTCCCTTTCATAGATTTTTGTCATATTATTTCTAATTCCTTTCTCCTTTCTTGAGTGTAATACTGCTCTATCTCTTGTATGGTAAAATGGAAGCTTAGATAATTGATTTTAGATCTCCTTTTTTTTTCCTTAGTACATGTATTTAATGATTACATTTTCCTTTAAGCACTGCTTTTGCTGCATTCCACAAATTTTGATAAGTTATATTTTAATTTTCTTTTAGCTCAAAATATTTTAAAATTTATTTGGGGACTTCTTTGACCCATGTGTTATTTCAAAGTATGTTATTTAATCTCTATGTATTTGAGGTTTTTCCAGCTATCACTCTGTTATTGATTTCTAGTTTATTTGCACTGTAGTCTAGGACCATAGTTTGTATGACTTTTATTCTTTTAATTTTGTAAAAGTGACTTTATGGCCCAGAATGCGGCCTATCTTGATGAATATTCCTTGTGGTATTGAGAAGAATGTGTGTTCTACTACTGTTGAATGATTTTGTAAATGTCAATGATATGCAGTTGATTGGTCCTGCTGCTCAGTTCAACTATAGTCATGTGTAACTTAACAATGAGGATACGTTCTGAGAAATGCATCATTAGGTGATTTCATTGTACTGCAAACATCATAGAGTGTACAAACCTAAATGGTATAAAGCCAAGTACATACCTAGGGTATATAATATAGCCTTTTGTGCCTAGGCTACAAACTTGTACAGCTTGTTTGTATGCTGAATACTCTAGGCAATTGTAACACAATTGTACATATGTACCTAAACACATCTAAACATTGAAAAGGTACAATAAAAATATTTTATTATAGCATTTAGGGCAACCATAGTATATGCAGATCATCATTGACCGAAACATCATTATCAGCGCATGATTCTGTATCCTTACTGAGTTTTTCCTGCTGATCCTGTCCATTATTGACAGAGGTGTGTTTTATTTTCCAACTATAATAATTTGTCTATTTCTCTTTGCAGTTCTATCAATCAGCTTTGGGTTCACATATTTTGATGCTCTCTTGCTAGGTACATACACTTTAATAATTGTTATGTCTTCTTGGAGAATAAATCTCTTTATCATTACATAATGTCCTGCTTTGTTTCTGATAAGTTTCTTATTTTTATGTCTACTTTTTCTGAAATTAGCGTAGCTATTCTGGCTTTCTTTGGGTTACTGTTAACGTTATCTACCTTTCTCCATTCTTTCACACTTAATCTATCCTTGTTTTTATATTAAAGTGAGTTTCTTACAGACAACATATGGTTGGGTCTTGTTTTTTATTTATTCTCTCAGTCTATGTCTTTTAATTGGTATATTTATACCATTCTTACTTAAAGTGACTATTGATACAGTTAGATTAATATCTACTATGTTTGATATTGTTTTCTACTTGTTGACCTAGTTCTTTGTTTTTTCTTAAATCTTTCCTGTTATTTTGCCCTTTGTGGTTTTAATTGGGCATTTTATATGATTCCATTTCCTCTTCTCTTTTAGCATATCAATTTTATAAATACTTTTTAAAATTTAGTTTGTGCATAAGATTTGCAATACATATTTATAACTAATAAAATTACCTCACAACAGAATATTATTAATCCTCCCATCCCTTATGACATTGCTGTATTTAATTTCACTTATCTGTAAATTTTCATTACTGAATACAGTGTTCATATTACTTCAAACTGCTATCTATTAGATCAATTAAAAATAGAAAGATATTTTCTTTTATTATTTCTTTGTGTAGATTCAATTTCTGTCTAATATCATTTTTATTCTCTCAGAAGAACTTCTTTTAGTGTTTCTTCAAGGAAGGTCTCTTGGCAACAATTTTCCCTAGTTTTGGTTTGGAAAATCTCTATTTTATTTTCATCTATGAAGGATAATTTTATTGACTGGAGATTTCTAGGTAGGAGGGATTTTTTTCCCCAACACTTTAAATATTTCACTCTATCTTCTTGTTTGTATGATTTCGGAAGAGAAGTCTTATGTAATTATTTTCCTTGTTCTTCTGTAGGTAGGTTTTTTATTTCCCTCTTGCTTCCTTCAAAATTGTGTTTTTGTCCTTTTTTTGCAGTTTGGATATGATATGCATATGAAGTTTTTAAAAATTTATTCTGTATTGTATCACCTGAGCTTCCTGAATGTATGGTTTGGTTTCCTACATTAATTGTGAAAATTCTCAGACAATATTTCTTCTCTCTCTTTGCTCTTTCTCCTTCTGTTATTCCCATTATACATATATTACACATTTTGCAATTGGCACACAGTTCTTAAATGATCTTAGTTTTTCTTTTTTCCTTTGCATTTCAGTTTTTGAAGTTTCTATTGACATATTTTCTATGGCACTGATTCTTTGCTTTACTGTATTCAGTAAATTTATAAGCCCATGAAAAGCATTTTTCATTTTGTTACCAAGTTTTTTATTTCTAGTGCTTCTATTTGATTCTTACTTTTTGTTTCCATCTCTTTGCTCTAATTACCCATCTGGTCCTGAATGTTGACTACTTCTTTTTCTACTAGTGCTTTTAATATATCAATTATAGTTTAGTTTCTCTGATAATTCCAAAATTTCTACCATATCTGAGTTTAATTTGTTTCTTCATACTGTACTTTTTCTTGACTTTGAGCAAGTTTTGCATTTTTTAAAATTAAAGTCAGACATGTATCAGATAATATGAACTGAATTAGGCATTTGGGGTGAGATTTTATGTGTATTTATCTAGAAATTAGGCTGTTTTTAATGTTTACTATTGCTATATATGTCATAGGCTTAAAATTCCTCTAGCATCCTTGTTTTGTCTTCTCTGTTTTCTCTAAGTTTCCCTAGAAACTCCTTAAATACAGTCTGTGTCTTGCAGCTCTCTCAGTTGTAACCCAGTGTTACTTTATTGATGCCCAATTTATGTGGTAGTAAATTGGGAAGGAGACATGTTCTACAATCTTATGATTTAATCTCCCTTTTTTGGTATGTTAGAGTCCCTGGGCAGTAAGCTTCCAAAAAAAGAATTCTTAGCCTTCTTATTTTCTTCCCTTATGAGAAAACAGAAGGCTAGAGGAGTAGCATTGTCTAATTGTCCTTCCTGTATGTATACTAAGGCTCTAGAAAAGTCGTTTTCTTGGAGGGCAGAACTCTGTTATGACAAACACAATATTTGGGCATATTTCAAAATAGTTGCTTTTCTCCTGGTGTATTTCAAAACAGTTTTTTTTCCCCTCCCTTAGCCTGAAAACCAACTTTATTGTTTTCTGTGTGTTCTTCACTTTGAAAACTTGGTAGAGCCTCTGGAGATAAAACTCATGAGAATATGAGTACTTACCTAAGTTGCAGCACTATGGAATTTTTAACTCTCCAACACTTCACACTCACCTCCACCAATTTTTCAATGACATTTAAGTATTTCGACTAGTTTTGCTAGTAGAAGCATACCACACAGATATTGTGAGTTGAGTTCCAGACCACCACAATAAATCGAATATTTCAAAAAAGTAGCCACACAAACTTTTTGGTTTCCCAATGTATATAAATGTTTATACTACTGTCTATTAAGTTTGCGATAACATAATGTCTAAAACATAATGTATATTCATTAGTTAAAAAAATACTTCATTGCTAAAAATGCTAAGAATCATCAGAGCCTCCAGCAAATCATATATATAAATATATATACATATGTAAATGTATATAGATATATATAAATGTATATAAATAGATATATAAATATATATGTATATAAATATATATAAATATGTATATAAATATATTTATAAATATATATATTTGGTAGCAGATAGTTTTATTTTGATGTTGATGGCTGCTGACTGAACAGAGTGGTGGTTGCTGAACCTTTGGGTAGCTGTGGCAATTTCTTAAAATGAGACAACAATGAAGTTTGCTGTATTGATTGTCTCTTTTTTTATTTCTCTGTAGCATGCAATGGTGTTTGGTAGTCTTTTACTCACAGTAGGACTGCTTTCCAAATGGGAGTTGATTTTCTTCAATCTTGCTGCTACTTTATCAATCAAGCTTATGTAACATTCTTAACTATGTCTTGTCATTTCAACAGTTTTCACAGCATCTTCATCAGCAGTAGCTTCTATCTCAACAACCCACTTTTCTTTGCTCATCTTTAAGTAGCAATTGCTCATCCATTAACACGTTCTTATGTGATCTCAGCAATTTAGCAAACAGCTTCAGGCTCCAATTTTTATTGTAGTTCTCTTGCTATTCTTATTGCATCTGTAGTTCCTTAATCCACTGAAGAATTGCAACCACCACAGTCATTCCAGGAGGTTGGATTCAGCTTCTTCCAACCTCCTGTTAACATTGATATTTCTACCTCATTTCATGAATCACAGATCTTCTTAATGCCATCTAGGCTGATGCATCCTTTCCAGAAGACTTTATGTTTACTTTGTCTAGATCCATTAGAGGAATCACTATTTATGGCAGCTATAGCCTTACAAACATATTTCTTAAATAATAAGACTTGAAAGTCAAAATTATTTATTTTTGAGACAGAGTCTTACTCTGATGCCCAGGCTGGAGTGCAATGGCATGATCTTGGCTCACTGCAACCTCTGCCTCCCAGGTTTAAGTGACTTTCCTGCCTCAACCTCCTGAGCAGCTGGTATTACAGGCACCTGACACTACGCCCAGCTAATTTTTGTATTTTTAGTAGAGATGGGGTTTCACCATAATGGCCAGGCTGGTCTTGAACTCCTGACCTCAGGTGATCCACCCACCTCGGCCTCCCAAAGTGCTGAGTGTGAACCACTGCACCTGGTCAAGATTATTTCTTGAGCCATGGGCTACCAAATAGATGTTGTGTTAGCAGGCATAAAAATAACATAGATCTTCTGGTACAGTTCCATCAGAGCTCTTGAGTGATTATATGCTTTGTCAATGAGCAGTAATATTTTGAAAGGAATATTTTTCTGAGCAGTATGTCTCAATGATGAATTTAAAACATTCAGTTAACCATGCTAAACATATACATATGCTCATATCCATGCTTTCTTGTTCCATTCATTTATAGAGCACAAACAAAAAAATAACATAACATAATTCTTAAGGGGCCTAGGATTTTTGGAATGGCAAAGGGTCATTGGTTTCAACTTAAGTCACAGCTACATTAGTCACTAACAAGAGATTCAGCTTTATTTTTAAAGCTTTGAAGCTATCATTGATTTCTCATCCTCAGCTCTAAAAGTCCTAGATTGCATCTTTTTCCAATATTAGGCTACTTCCTTTACATTTAATATCTTTTATTTAGTATAGCCATCTTTATCAATAACCTTACCTAGATATTCTGGATAACCTGCTGTATCTTCTACATCAGCATCTGCTGCTTCACTTTGTACTTTTATGTTATAGAGATGGCTTTAAAGGAGTTAGTTAGCTTGCTTTAGGCCTACAGTAAGGGAAAGGTCCCTGAGAACCTCTGACCCACCAGACAAGTGCTTATAGCAGATATTTTGTACAGGTAAGGGAACTTGCACAGGAGCCTTGCCTAAAAATGCCCA
This sequence comes from Homo sapiens, assembly GCF_000001405.40. Lineage (NCBI taxonomy): Eukaryota > Metazoa > Chordata > Mammalia > Primates > Hominidae > Homo > Homo sapiens. The sequence continues at coordinate 61,534 of NW_009646204.1, read as the reverse complement.
TATTGAAACATTTTGTTTCTTCACACATACAGAGTAAAGGAAATAAATCAGCGTGGAGCAGCTCAGTCTAAGGGCCCACATGCACACTGGAAGGATGGGGTGGAGCCACTAGGAATTTGTGCCTTAAACCCTAGCATTCAACTATGAAGGGGGGCAACCAGAAACCTACTTTCAAGACCCTCTCTTTGCTTGAGAGCTTCCTTTTGCTTAATAAATTATATTCCACTCACCCTCTGGTGTCCATGCGCCTAATTTTTCCTGGTCATGAGACAAGAACCCAGACCTAGCTGAGCTAAGGAGAAGAAATCCTACATCAGCTTCTTTCTTTAAACCTCATGAACCAACCTCAGCTAGCTACCAACTTTCCTTCTGCTGATGGCTCACCATTCTTGGGCTTCTAGAATTAAAGAGAGTTAGGGCATTTCTCCGGATTAGGCTTTGGTTTAAAGGAATGTGGTGGTTGGTTTGATCTTCTATCCAGGCCACTCAGTTTTTTCTCCATTTCCACAATAGGACTGTTTGCTTTCTTGTCATTTGTGTGTGTTCACTGGAATCTCACTTTTAATTTCCTTCAAGAACTTTTCCTTTGCATTTGCAGCTTAGCTAACCATTTTGCACAAGAGGCCTAACTTTTGGCCTATCTTGGCTTTCAACATGTCTTCCTCACTAAGCTTAATAATTTCTAGCTTTTGAGTTAAAGTGAGATCTGTGACTCTCTTTTTTTTACTTGAACACCAAAAAATCATTGAAGAGTTATCAATTGGCCATTTTTAAATGTTAATTTTTAATTTTTGTGGGTGCATAGTAGTGTATATATTTATAGGGTACATGAGATATTTTGATACAAGCATGCAATGTGTAATAATCATATTAGGGTAAATGGGGTATCCATCATGTCAAGCTTTTATTCTTTATGTTACAAATAATCCTATTACACTCGTTTAGTTATTTTAAAATGTATAATTAAATTGTTATTGACTATAGTCACCCTGCTGTGCTATCAAATACTAGTTCTTATTCTTTCTTTCTAAGTATTTTTGTACCCATTAACTATCCCCACTTTTCTTCCACTGCTCCCCTCAACTACCCTTCTCAGCCTGTGGTAGCCTTCCTTCTACTCTCTATTTTCATGAGTTCCATTGTTTTCTTTTAGCTTCCACAAATAAGTAAGAACTTGCAAAGTTTGTCTTTCTGTGCCTGGTTTATTTCACTAAACATAATGATCTCCAACTCCATCTACATTGTTGCAAATAACAGGATCTCATACTTTTTTATGGCTAAATAGTACTTAATTGTGTATAAGTACTAAATTCTCCTGTTCATTGAGATTCATTTGTTCATGGACACTTAGGTTGCTTCCAAATCTTCACTATTGTGAATAGTGCTGCAGTAAACATGGGAGTGTAGGTATCTCTCTGATAGACTGATTTCTGTTCTTTTGGGTATATACTCAGCAGTGTGATTCCTGGGTAACATGGTAGCTCTATTTTTAGTTTTTTTGAGAAACCTCCAAACTGTTCTCCATAGTGGTTGTACTAATTTACATTTCCACCAACAATATATGAGGGTTCCCGTTCCTCCACATCCTCACTAGTATTTCTTGTTGCCTGTCTTTTGGATAAAAGTCAGTTGACTTATTTTAATATTGTTGTGTCTCACGGAATAGGGAAGCCCAATGAGAAGCAGAGAGACAAGGGAATGACCAATTGGTGGAACAATCAGAAAACAAAAATATTTATCAATTAAAGTATTTGTCTTACTTGGTGATTACAGTTGAAATATTAACATCAAAAATCACTGATTACAGATCACCACAACAGATAATAATAATAATAATAGTTTGAAATAATGTGAGAATTACCAAAATATGACAAAAAGATACAGTGAGCACATGTTGGAAAAATTGCACCAATAGACTTGCTTGACTCAGGCAGAATACCTACAAACTTTTTTTTTTTTTTGAGACAGAGTCTCACTCTGCTGCCCAGGCTGGAGTGTAGTGGTGCGATCTCGGCTTACTGCAAGCTCCGCCTCCCAGGTTCACACCATTCTCCTGCCTCAGCCTCCCAAATAGCTGGGACTACAGGCATGCGCCACCTCGCCTGGCTAATTTTTTGTATTTTTAGTAGAGACGGGGTTTCACGGTGTTAGCCAGGATAGTCTCCATCTCCTGACCTTGTGATCCGCCCGCCTTGGCCTCCCAAAGTGCTGGGATAACAGGCGTGAGCCACTGCGCCCGGCCACACAAACTTTTAATTTGTAAAAAGCACAGTATCTGCAACACACAATAATGTGAAGTGCAATAAAATGAGGTGTGCCTGTAGTTACTGTCTCTAGCAGCTTCTGCTCTTGGTAATTTGTAATTGTCTTTTTTGCCTATCTGCAGTTTTTCAGAATTGGTTTGCCCAAACTTTGATGATTTAATGTATCTGAGAATTGCTGATGTTGAATTTTTTTCATTTTTTCAGCTTTTTTCTTGTTGTGGGTTGAGAGTGATGACTTCCAAACTCTCTAGCTGTCAAAGAGGAAACCGGACATTTCTATAACACATTTTGAAAGGAAATAACTGCCCTTTGAAATTCTATAATATATGGAAAGAATGATATTTCAATATCTAAAAATAGAAAAGTTAGAAGTAACATTATGCTAAAAGGCATATTCTTGTTTCAGGACGCTTACATAGCATGTTAGATACATGTTCAAAAACTAGGATAAATTCAACTAGTGAACAACATATAGACTTGAACCCAGAGTTTATCAACCTTTCAAATATATGGCAGCAGGACACCAAAATAAGTACAGTGGTTTCAATTGCCTACATAGTCCTTACCAACCGATAGCATGCTCAGCTTCTAGAAATCAAAATATTGCTAAATTCTACTTTAGTCAGATAATATGTGCAACAGCCTGAATGTTTTACTTTTCTCAAAATTCACATGTTGAAATACTAACCCTCAAGGTGATGGCATTAGGAAGTGGGCCTTTTGGGAGGTGATTTGATGATAAAAGTAGAGCCATTATGAATGGGATTAGTGCCTTTATAAAGAGGTCTGAGGAAACATGCTATCCTAATTCACCATTTGAGGACATAGGAAGATGGTGCAATCTATGAGAAAGCAGGCCCTTACCAGACACCAAATCTGTCAGCACCTTAAACTGGAACTTTCCAGCCTCCAAAACTGTGAAGTATAGGTTTGTTTATAACCTGTCTACTTTACGGTATTATTCTTCTAGTAGCCCAAGTGGACTAAGATGATATAGAAAATTTCCATTTAAATTTAAGCATTTTATTCTATAGTCATATTGAAAAACAACTTTATTGATTCGATAAATTTAAAAAATTCAATTCCCTTTTCTGAAGACAGCCATTATTAATCCATATATCTTATTTCTGTCAAGATAGATATTATATATTATTTGTAGTGTAAAGAAAATGATTGTGGTGTGGGTTAAGGAGGACTTGTCTGAATCTCAATTTGGTTGTTATTTACCTATAAGGTATTAGGCAAATTGCTTAACTTTTTGGATTTTTGGTTTCTATTCTGTAACATAATGGATGTTGCAATAAAGAGGGTAGGTTAGATGACACCTAAGTTTATTTCTAATGTCAATAATTTATAATATTTATCTCCTTTTATTTACATCTTTTTAAATCAAGCAACCTGAACATTTACTTATTTTTTTGAAATAACAATCAATGAGCAAAGTGCTAAGTGAACATGAACTGGAGCAATGAAAGCCTACATTATTGTGTTGAACACTTATTTTTATTGTAAATTTGAATTTTAAGATTTAAATAAAAATAAGGGTATATTATCAACAATGATTAAATATCTATTTCTTAACATAATATCTATTTTAAATTATAAAAATACATATCATTTACTAAGAAAGACATTAATTTTGGGAGAAAGATTAATTCCTTAAAAGGTCCTCTATATTTCAGAGCATAAAGTAATTTATAATTGAGTTATTTTTCATTTGGCATTTGATGAAATTATGAACATAGTGACCCAAAGATGTGGGTCAAAACCATTTGCGAGCATTTTTGAAGAAACGGAGATACTTGTGCTCACAGTTAAAACTATTTTAAAGCTAATAGGAAATTGTACAAATTTTATGTCAAAATATACAATTAAATCAATGATGAAAGTGGGGTTTTATAGAGTAAGTATATTGCCCAGGGTGAGATCTCATTTTGTATGAGTAAATCTCTTAGACCACTTTTAAAACAGCAAAGTAGGGAAATGGAGCTCAGGGAAAAGCAGTGTCTCTGGATGGAAAAGAGAGAAAATGAAGATTGAGGCTGCTAGGATGGCTAAATCCCCATACAACTGGATAGGAGTTTACCCAGTCCTTGGCTAAATTCCAAACTGAACAAATCCAGGAAATCATTCTTTGAGAGATATCATGAGCATTTTGTGGCGATCTGAAAGTTGAACAGAGAATTCCAAGGGAAACCATGGAGCTCCACCCTATCCAAGATAGATTGAACTTCAAGAAAAATATTCAGTGAGATGCCAGAAAAGCCCAGGCTTATGCATTAGGGATAACGTGTATGCTGTACGACAAAGAGAAAAACTGAGATAGGCATCACCGTAACATTTTTAAAATAAAGTCTGGTAAGATAAATGCTAACTTTCCGTAAATGGACTGCCTGTAGGATCAAAACTCAAAGCTATCTAAAACAAAATATCATCCAGAGTCTCAAAAATGTATTACCCATGATGCTTAGAATATAAACAAATTGAGGGAGGAGCCAAGATGGCCGAATAGGAACAGCTCCGGTCTACAGCTCCCAGCGTGAGCGACGCAGAAGACGGGTGATTTCTGCATTTCCATCTGAGGTACCGGGTTCATCTCACTAGGGAGTGCCAGGCAGTGGGTGCGCGAGCCGAAGCAGGGCGAGGCATTGCCTCACCTGGGAAGCGCAAGGGGTCAGGGAGTTCCCTTTCCGAGTCAAAGAAAGGGGTGACAGACGCACCTGGAAATCGGTTCACTCCCACCCGAATATTGCGCTTTTCAGGCCGGCTTAAAAAACGGCGCACCACTAGACTATATCCCACACCTGGCTCGGAGGGTCCTACGCCCACGGAGTCTCGCTGATTGTTAGCACAGCAGTCTGAGATCAAACTGCAAGGGGGCAGTGAGGCTGGGGGAGGGGCGCCCACCATTGCCCAGGCTTGCTGAGGTAAACAAAGCAGCCAGGAAGCTCGAACTGGGTAGAGCCCACCACAGCTCAAGGAGGCCTGCCTGCCACTGTAGGCTCCACCTCTGGGGGCAGGGCACAGACAAACAAAAAGACAGTAGTAACCTCTGCAGACTTAAATGTACCTGTCTGACAGCTTTGAAGAGAGCAGTGGTTCTCCCAGCACGCAGCTGGAAATCTGAGAACCGGCAGACTGCCTCCTCAAGTGGGTCCCTGACCCCTGACCCCCGAGCAGCCTAACTGGGAGGCACCCCCCAGCAGGGGCACACTGACACCTCACACGGCAGGGTATTCCAACAGACCTGCAGCTGAGGGTCCTGTCTGTTAGAAGGAAAACTAACAAACAGAAAGGACATCCACACCAAAAACCCATCTGTACATCACCATCATCAAAGACCAAAAGTAGATAAAACCATAAAGATGGGGAAAAAACAGAACAGAAAAACTGGAAACTCTAAAACGCAGAGCGTCTCTCCTCCTCCAAAGGAACGCAGTTCCTCACCAGCAACGGAACAAAGCTGGATGGAGAATGACTTTGACGAGCTGAGAGAAGAAGGCTTCAGACGATCAAATTACTCTGAGCTACGGGAGGACATTCAAACCAAAGGCAAAGAAGTTGAAAACTTTGAAAAAAATTTAGAAGAATGTATAACTAGAATAACCAATACAGAGAAGTGCTTAAAGGAGCTGATGGAGCTGAAAACTAAGGCTCGAGAACTACGTGAAGAATGCAGAAGCCTCAGGAGCCGATGTGATCAACTGGAAGAAAGGGTATCAGCAATGGAAGATGAAATGAATGAAATGAAGCGAGAAGGGAAGTTTAGAGAAAAAAGAATAAAAAGAAATGAGCAAAGCCTCCAAGAAATATGGGACTATGTGAAAAGACCAAATCTACGTCTGATTGGTGTACCTGAAAGTGATGGGGAGAATGGAACCAAGTTGGAAAACACTCTGCAGGATATTATCTAGGAGAACTTCCCCAATCTAGCAAGGCAGGCCAACGTTCAGATTCAGGAAATACAGAGAATGCCACAAAGATACTCCTCCAGAAGAGCAACTCCAAGACACATAATTGTCAGATTCACCAAAGTTGAAATGAAGGAAAAAATGTTAAGGGAAGCCAGAGAGAAAGGTCGGGTTACCCTCAAAGGGAAGCCCATCAGACTAACAGCGGATCTCTCAGCAGAAACCCTACAAGCCAGAAGAGAGTGGGGGCCAATATTCAACATTCTTAAAGAAAAGAATTTTCAACCCAGAATTTCATATCCAGCCAAACTAAGCTTCATAAGTGAAGGAGAAATAAAATACTTTACAGACAAGCAAATGCTGAGAGATTTTGTCACCACCACGCCTCCCCTAAAAGAGCTCCTGAAGGAAGCGCTAAACATGGAAAGGAACAACCAGTACCAGCCACTGCAAAATCATGCCAAAGTGTAAAGACCATCGAGACTAGGAAGAAACTGCATCAACTAATGAGCAAAATCACCAGCTAACATCATAATGAAAGGATCAAATTCACACATAACAATATTAACTTTAAATGTAAATGGACTAAATTCTCCAATTAAAAGACACAGACTGGCAAACTGGATAAAGAGTCAAGATCCATCAGTGTGCTGTATTCAGGAAACCCATCTCACGTGCAGAGACACACATAGGCTCAAAATAAAAGGATGGAGGAAGATCTACCAAGAAAATGGAAAACAAAAAAAGGCAGGGGTTGCAATCCTAGTCTCTGATAAAACAGACTTTAAACCAACAAAGATCAAAAGAGACAAAGAAGGCCATTACATAATGGTAAAGGGATCAATTCAACAAGAAGAGCTAACTATCCTAAATATATATGCACCCAATACAGGAGCACCCAGATTCATAAAGCAAGTCCTGAGTGACCTACAAAGAGACTTAGACTCCCACACAATAATAATGGGAGACTTTAACACCCCACTGTCAGCATTAGACAGATCAACGAGACAGAAAGTCAACAAGGATACCCAGGAATTGAACTCAGCTCTGCACCAAGCGGACCTAATAGACATCTACAGAAGTCTCCACCCCAAATCAACAGAATATACATTTTTTTCAGCACCACACCACACCTATTCCAAAATTGACCACATAGTTGGAAGTAAAGCTCTCCTCAGCAAATGTAAAAGAACAGAAATTATAACAAACTATCTCTCAGACCACAGTGCAATCAAACTAGAACTCAGGATTAAGAATCCCACTCAAAGCCACTGAACTACATGGAAACTCAACAACCTGCTCCTGAATGACTACTGGGTACATAATGAAATGAAGGCAGAAATAAAGATGTTCTTTGAAACCAACGAGAACAAAGACACAACATACCAGAATCTCTGGGTCACATTCAAAGCAGTGTGTAGAGGGAAATTTATAGCACTAAATGCCCACAAGAGAAAGCAGGAAAGATCCAAAATTGACACCCTAACATCACAATTAAAAGAACTAGAAAAGCAAGAGCAAACACATTCAAAAGCTAGCAGAAGGCAAGAAATAACTAAAATCAGAGCAGAACTGAAGGAAATAGGGACACAAAAAACCCTTCAAAAAATCAATGAATCCAGGAGCTGGTTTTTTGAAAGGATCAACAAAATTGATAGACTGCTAGCAAGACTAATAAAGAAAAAAAGAGAGAAGAATCAAATAGACACAATAAAAAATGATAAAGGGGATATCACCACTGATCCCACAGAAATACAAACTACCATCAGAGAATACTGCAAACACCTCTATGCAAATAAACTAGAAAATCTAGAAGAAATGGATAAATTCCTCGACACATACACTCTCCCAAGACTAAACCAGGAAGAAGTTGAATCTCTGAATAGACCAATAACAGGAGCTGAAATTGTGGCAATAATCAATAGTTTACCAACCAAAAAGAGTCCAGGACCAGATGGATTCACAGCCGAATTCTACCAGAGGCACAAGGAGGAACTGGTACCATTCCTTCTGAAACTATTCCAATCAATAGAAAAAGAGGGAATCCTCCCTAACTCATTTTATGAGGCCAGCATCATTCTGATACCAAAGCCGGGCAGAGACACAACAAAAAAAGAGAATTTTAGACCAATATCCTTCATGAACATTGATGCAAAAATCCTCAATAAAATACTGGCAAACCGAATCCAGCAGCACATCAAAAAGCTTATCCACCATGGTCAAGTGGGCTTCATCCCTGGGATGCAAGGCTGGTTCAATATACACAAATCAATAAATGTAATCCAGCATATAAACAGAGCCAAAGACAAAAACCACATGATTATCTCAATAGATGCAGAAAAAGCCTTTGACAAGATTCAACAACCTTCATGCTAAAAACTCTCAATAAATTAGGTATTGATGGGACGTATTTCAAAATAATAAGAGCTATCTATGACAAACCCACAGCCAATATCATACTGAATGGGCAAAAACTGGAAGCATTCCCTTTGAAAACTGGCACAAGACAGGGATGCCCTCTCTCACCACTCCTATTCAACAGAGTGTTGGAAGTTCTGGCCAGGGCAATTAGGCAGGAGAAGGAAATAAAGGGTATTCAATTAGGAAAAGAGGAAGTCAAATTGTCCCTGTTTGCAGACGACATGATTGTATATCTAGAAAGCCCCATTGTCTCAGCCCAAAATCTCCTTAAGCTGATAAGCAACTTCAGCAAAGTCTCAGGATACAAAATCAATGTACAAAAATCACAAGCATTCTTATACAGCAACAACAGACAAACAGAAAGCCAAATCATGAGTGAACTCCCATTCACAATTGCTTCAAAGAGAATAAAATACCTAGGAATCCAACTTACAAGGGATGTGAAGGACCTCTTCAAGGAGAACTACAAACCACTGCTCAAGGAAATAAAAGAGGATACAAACAAATGGAAGAACATTCCATGCTCATGGGTAGGAAGAATCAATATCATGAAAATGGCCATACTGCCCAAGGTCATTTACAGATTCAATGCCATCCCCATCAAGCTACCAATGACTTTCTTCACAGAATTGGAAAAAACTACTTTAAAGTTCATATGGAACCAAAAAAGACCCCGCATTGCCAAGGCAATCCTAAGTCAAAAGAACAAAGCTGGAGGAATCACACTACCTGACTTCAAACTATACTACAAGGCTACAGTAACCAAAACAGCATGGTACTGGTACCAAAACAGAGATATAGATCAATGGAACAGAATAGAGCCCTCAGAAATAACGCCGCATACCTACAACTATCTGATCTTTGACAAACCTGAGAAAAACAAGCAATGGGTAAAGGAGTCCCTATTTAATAAATGATGCTGGGAAAACAGGCTCGCCATATGTAGGAAGCTGAAACTGGATCCCTTCCTTACACCTTATACAAAAATCAATTCTAGATGGATTAAAGATTTAAACCTTAGACCTAAAACCATAAAAACCCTAGAAGAAAACCTAGGCATTACCATTCAGGACATAGGCATGGGCAAGGACTTCATGTCTAAAACACCAAAAGCAATGGCAACAAAAGCCAAAATTGACAAATGGGATCTAATTAAACTAAAGAGCTTCTGCACAGCAAAAGAAACTACCATCAGAGTGAACAGGCAACCTACAAAATGGGAGAAAATTTTCACAACCTACTCATCTGACAAAGGGCTAATATCCAGAATCTACAATGATTTACAAGAACATATTTACAAGAAAAAAACAAACAACCCCATCAAAAAGTGGGCGAAGGATATGAACAGACACTTCTCAAAAGAAGACATTTATGCAGCCAAAAAACACATGAAAAAATGCTCACCATCACTGGCCATCAGAGAAATGCAAATCAAAACCACAATGAGATACCATCTCACACCAGTTAGAGTGGCAATCATTAAAAAGTCAGGAAACAACAGGTGCTGGAGAGGATGTGGAGAAATAGGAACACTTTTACACTGTTGGTGGGACTGTAAACTAGTTCAACCATTGTGGAAGTCCGTGTGGCGATTCCTTAGGGATCTTGAACTAGAAATACCATTTGATCCAGCCATCCCATTACTGGGTATATACCCAAAGGATTATAAATCATGCTGCTATAAAGACACATGCACACGTATGTTTATTGCGGCATTATTCACAATAGCAAAGACTTGGAACCAACCCAAATGTCCAACAATGATAGACTGGATTAAGAAAATGTGGCATATATACACCATGGAATACTATGCAGCCATAAAAAATGATGAGTTCATGTCCTTTGTAGGGACATGGATGAAATTGGAAATCATCATTCTCAGTAAACTATCACAAGAACAAAAAACCAAACACCACATATTCTCACTCATAGGTGGGAATTGAACGATGAGATCACATGGACACAGGAAGGGGAATATCACACTCTGGGGACTGTGGTGGGGTGGGGGGAGGGGGGAGGGATAGCATTAGGAGATATACCTAATGCTAGATGACGAGTTAGTGGGTGCAGCGCACCAGCATGGCACATGTATACATATGTAACTAACCTGCACAATGTGCACATGTACCCTAAAACTTAAAGTATAATTAAAAAAAAAAAGAAATATCCAATAATGGGAATGCTGGATCGTATAATAGTTCTATTTTTAGTTTTCTGAGAAGTCTTTCTACTGTTTTTCCACATACATTTCATGTGAATGTACTAAGTTGCATTCTACAAACAGTGTGGAAGAGTTCCCTTTTCTCTGCATCCTTGCCAACATTTGAATAGGGATGGTGTCTGTGGGCATCCTTGTCTTGTTCCAGATGTTACAGGAAAGAATTTCAGCTTTCTCCCATTCAGTGTATTGACTGTGAGTTTGTCATATATGGCCTTTAGGTTGACGTAAGGTCCCTCGTTTGTCTAAGAGTTTTTATCTGGAGAAGATGTTGAGTTTTATCAGATGCTTTTTGGCATCTATTAAAATGATCATGTTTTTTGTCTTTTAAAAAAAAAGAATATAAACAAATTACAAGACATTAAACAAATTACAAGACATGCAAAGGAGTGGTCATGGAAACAGAAAATATGATAAAAGCGTACTGTCACATGATTCTAATGTTAGAATTAGGACTTTAAAATAATTATTTTATATAGAAAGCTATGTTAAATTACATGATATGAACAAAATGGATAAAGAAATATAAAATTTCAACAGGAAAATGAATACTGATAAAAGGAAAAAATCTGAATTCCAGATAATAATAATAGTAGGCACACTGAAAAATTTTATTCAGTGTTCTTAGTAATAGACCAAACACAGCAGAAGAAAGTTTTAGTAAATTTGAGGCCTGATCAATGGAAATCAGCACTAATGAGAAAAAGAATGAAAAAAGAGAAAGACTGTCTTGAAACCTGTAGGGCAATATCAAACATCTAACATTCATGTAATTTAATTACCAGAAAGACAGAAAAGAGAGAATACGACACAAAAAATATTTAAGAGATAATGGATAATTTTCTTCCAAATTGGTGAAAAATATCACTTAGATATTCAAAAGGGCATGGATGAATTTTGACAGGTGATTGATATAACTCTTTTCTATCTTAATTATATAAGTTGGTAGTTGCAAGACCAGAATGCATTTGTCAAAACTTTAAGAACTGTAAACCAAAAATGGTCAATTTTATTGTTCCAAATGTTACCTTACTTGAAAACAAAAAAAAGTGAGAAACTTACTTTTCTTTTGATTGTGGAATAACTGAGATCATAATTACCATTTTACTGTGATCAAGTGAAACTTTATTCTAATTTAAGTAGAAAACAATTTTTTCAACAGATAAAGGCATTATTGGGCACTATGCATTTTTCTGCCAGTAAGTGGACTTCTTGATACTGAAACCTTTCACAGCTTATGTAGGATCCCCATAGATCTCTGTAAGATAGTGGAGAAGAACCCATATTATCTATAGAGAGCTTGGATTCCAGAAGAAAGGGCAGAGCTACACATCCCCAGTGCTTCATGCTAATCTCACCAATCAAGTAAGATTTTTCTTTTGTCCAAGGGTAGACTAAATGAGACTGCAAAAAAAAGTAAATTATAGACTTCCCTCTGGCAAGTGGTGTGAAATAAGTGTTCATCCCTAAAAACACCATATTATTCTTTCTCTTGATTTTGTTTTACTAAATAATGTTTTTGAATTTACTATTTTAGAAGTGTGTATCTTCTAGACTATGAGATTATAAAGATAAGATTACATTTATAATTTGTAACTTCAATATCTAACATCATTTTCCAGCGGATAAATACATAAATGAATATACACACATCTAATTTTGAGGTAGGTACTGGTGCAACTGAATCAATGACTTACTGTTCCGTTTCTGATATTTTGGTACCCGTGTTAACCACTAGTAAGTGTATTTTTATGTAAATGGTGAATGTAAATTCTTAGGAGCTAGACTACTAAGAGTCTTATAGTTTTACCTTTTCCAGAATATAAAATAAAAATGATATTAAATAAGTAGAATATTCAACATTATTTGCCTTGATTCAGTTTACACAGAAAAAAGAATCCAAGTATTCCATTGCCTTTAATGCGAACTGTGTTAAGAATAATAGAGTGTGTTTTGAAAATTTGCCATTTGTCCCAATAAACAGCAAAATATTAAAAAGAACACAACACAGAATCTAAGGATTAGAGAGGAATTATAGAGAATTTGGTCAAAATCCCTTTTAAGTCCATGAATCTGTTCTACAACAGTGATGAAGAGCTCATGACTTTAGTAGGCTGATCATTCCATAAGTGACACACTCTATCATACGATTCTATATTTAAGTAGAGGATAGCTCCTTTACACTATTCAAGACGGATGCTTGTTTTGTGTTTTATAGTAAAACAGGCAAAAAATGTGCTTTACTAGCAAATGATCTCTTTTAAGACGTTTGGAGATAATTGTCATAATTTCCCCTCTCTGCCCTAAGTCTTTTTATCTGTAGGCTAAACACTTGTGGTTTCTTCAGCATTTCCACATACAACATAACTATTTGAATTTCCTGTAGCTTATTTTCTGGAGATGCTAAATCCAAGTCCAGTTCAAAAAGATGGAAAATATAAACCCTTAGATTTTTCATGCTCTGCCCCCTTTTCTTCACTCATAGTTTCAGAAATTTAAGCTCTTGAATATAAAAAAGATCAAATTTTACTCTACTTTTACTAGTTTTTCAGGCAACAAGACTAAAATTTACTTATTTTCTTGTCAATCTCTCTTGCTCAGAGAGTCATAAACTACCAAATTCTGAAGACAAATTCTAATTGCACAAGTAAAGGCTGATTGAGCTGCACAGTGTTCTCAAATGTTCACAAATAACTTATAAAATAATCAGAAGACTAGTTGAGACACAGTGGCAATATATACAGTACATATAGTGGAGTGTGGAGATTTTGGTGTTTAGTATGTTAAATATTTGAAAAATAGCAGAGAACTAAACAATGAGTTGCAAGAACACAGATCTGCAGAACTACAATAGATCAAGTTCATATAAGTGGTTTTGGAACTATGTAAATCAAACTTCACATTTTACCATAAGCAGCAAAAATAAACTTGGTGGCACCATTAATACTTCCTGGAAATGTTCTTAGCTTCATCATCCAGTTCACTGGATACATTTTCTATTTTCCACATTACTGCAGTCAACTGTGTTGCTGAAGTTTCTGCCACTAAATAATCAGTATTCCCATTCTTCTAGTTCCTAATAACAATTTCCTCACTTTCCTTTAAGCCCTCACTGACAGCCTCTTCAAAGTCCATCAGCTTTCTATTCAAAACATTAGTATTTCACTAGCTCTCTCATAAGAGTCCTTGTAGCTTCTGATCATTGTCTAATTCTAAAATCCTCTCCCATATTTTAGTTTAGTAGTAGCTCTCCACTTTCAGATTTCCTAGATCTGTATTAGTTATGTATTGCTGAGTACTTTATTATCTTAAAATGTAACAGCCTATAACAATATAAATTTATTATTTTACATATTTCTGGGTGGATCAGGAATCTTGTAATAACTTTTCTGGGTGGTTTTAGCTCAAGGTTTCTCATAGATTGTAGTAAATATATTGATTTAAGTTGAGCTTATCTGGTAGCTCAACTGAGCTTGGAGTATCCGATTCAAACTTGGATCACTCGTATGGCTATTAGCAAGAGGTTTTGTATCCTCTTCACATGGATCTCTCCACAGGCTATCTTCATTTCTTTTATCTGGCTTCTCCCGTTAAAGATTTTCAAAAGAGCGAAAGGTAGAAATCACAATTTTTTAAGGAAATAGCCTTGGAAGTCACACATAATAATTTTAACCATACTACAATGGCTGCATAGGTCAGTCCTATTCAATGTGAGAGGTAAACACATCAGGGTATGAGTACAAGAAGGAAGGGATCATTGGGAGCCAGTTTTGATGATAGCTTCCACATACCACTACTCTGTCTCAGTTCAATGTCTAAAAACAGCTGCCTCATATAATTTGTCAAGTTTTCTAGTTGTATATTATAGGAGGATAAATCCCACAGGATGGGTGGAAGTGAAACGATGGTGCCATGTATTACCATAAAGAACAGTAAGAGTAGATCAGGTTATAGAAAGTAGAACGTTTGGACTCATACTTTTGAAATACTGTACAGACTCTCAAGTGAGCACTTTAAACTGTTTTTAAAATTTCAGATCTATAGTTCATATAAGAAGTTTGAAGTAAATATGAAAATTTTGGACCCATCAACATACTATCCCTTATGCCTAGTGTTCCATTATTGGAACACTAAGCATGTGGGAATTATTTATATCCTACTGCTCAAGGTCATCACTAAGGTCTGATTTTTCACTCATGCAAACATTCAAAAAATTGCAACCTCTGGCATAAATGGGTCAGTGGCCTTTAAAGCTATGGGTCTAAATGAGATCATTTTTGGAAAGCAAAGAAATATGAAGATTGAGCTTTGAGGAATTCCAAAATTTACCACTGATGAGGAAGAGATAGTTCTAGAAAGGATAGGGCAGAGTATCCACCAGTGAGGTTGGAAGAAAATAATCTTTGCGTGTAGTCCATGTGAATGTGAATAAATTTTTTTTCAAAAAGAATAATCAAATGTGCAAATGCTGACAAGTAGGATGAGATCTGAGAATTGACTGTTGGATTTGAGAAGCGAACTAATAGAAATCTTTTTATCCCAAACCCGGGATCTGAAAAATGCATTTAAAATACCTGCTGAATGGTTGAAATTTACTGTTTAGTTGCATAATTTAATAGGTTACTTTCCTTTCTGCCTTCTTCATAATTTCTCATTAAGGAATTGCACTTACCACCACGGTCCTCTAAACACCTTTCCATTCCAAGTGCTAACTTGGGGAGTCCATCTGCTGTCGCAGCTCGATGGTGCTAAAGTAAAGCTGGCAGGAGAACTGACAACCAGAGAGGCATATTCTGTATAATGTGCTTTTCTTCTGCTTTGGCAAAAATAGAATCTAAACTTTGGCAGGAAATTAAAGAAATTTTGCATTTTGGTTAGCATTTATGCTTCTTACCTCAAAATATGAAGTAGGACACCCACAGGTGTAGGTTGGAGGATCAAATACTTTGCAATATAGCCAATAATCTTAAATTCTTTAATTAAAAATAAGAAAAGAATGAATCTGAAATTATTCCTTGTAATGTCTTTAACACTAAAGCCAGAGGTATGCCCTTGTGTGAAAATTATGTGTACAGATGATTATCAGAATAATTCAAAAAATAATTAGGCTCATATAAATGTAGAATTGGGGAGAATGTGAAATAATATCTAAAAGGACATACATTAATTTTCTTATTTAAATCAAGGTTTATGTTATTCCAAGCAAATTTTCCAAACAACTGTGCCATACTTTTACGTGCCATTAAAATAATTTTTAGAAATCCTAGGGTAAAATGTCATACAGCTGGAATCCACTGATATAGTATTCTAAACTTTGGCTAAAACTATTATGATGCAAAAGGGAGAAGAACAGAACCTCACAGTTATATCTAATACTAAGACAATATAGCACCAAAATGTAGTTAG
Source organism: Homo sapiens (assembly GCF_000001405.40). Lineage (NCBI taxonomy): Eukaryota > Metazoa > Chordata > Mammalia > Primates > Hominidae > Homo > Homo sapiens. The sequence goes on along the minus strand of NW_009646204.1, from coordinate 45,314 downwards.
GAACCTCTAACTAAGAAAAGTGCAGCCAGATAAAGAAAATTTAACTTTGACTTTGACAGGTTGTTATTTTCTGGATTCTTCTCATAAAACAAAATCATATGAAAAAAAGTGTGTATGTACAGTTCTCATTTCCTCACTAATGATTTAGAGGATGGGGTTCTTATACCAACTAAAAAATGAGATACCTCTCTATTATATAGTTCTTTACCAAAAGTTGGAATCAATATCTTTGAGAGTAGTAATTAAAAATATACTTTTCCGCTCTTCCCTTGAAAGTTTCAATTAATATATCTGGAATTGGCTTATGCATATAATTTGAAGTGAAAATAAAAACAAATCAACATCAATAGGAATTATTCTATCTATATCTAGTTTAAATCTGCTTTATCTGTTTAAAACAGCAGGAAATAAAAAAACTTTCACATTTTGTTTAGGATTTGTACTTCTTACTTCAAAAAAGAAAGTAAAGGGTAGTCAGAATGCTGATATATGTCACAAAATTCTGTATTCTGGCAGAGATTGCAAATTATAAAAACATTATTTGAAAGAAATATTATTGTACCATAATAGATTCTGGAAGTTGTAGGTCAAGTGAAGCAGAGTGAAAAATAAATATTTCTAGAGGGAGTTTTAGCTTTTTAAGTTTTCTGTCATATCAGATTAGAACAGAAACAGACACAGGGGACAGCAAAAAGATGACTCACATTGTACCAGAGGTGTTCTATGTGAAAGTCTTCTACCAGACCAGAAGTGATCTGAGATCTGTGTCATCAACCTTCTCTCCACAGGATGACTTGAGAAGGGAATTGGATCTGCACAAAAAAATAACAGCCAACAAGGAAAATCATATATCATGAATGTTGAGTGATGCTGGCCAATAAAGAAACTTGCCCAGCAACAAACAAAAATACAGGCTCAGTGAAGCTTTGTCACAGTTATAAACATCCAGAGTAATGAGAGGAAGAAAATTCTTTTGAAAAATGTCTAATGCATTATCTAGAAGATAATTGTATAAGAATGTTTGAAATCCTTAAAGTGTGTAGTGCATAAAATATAACTATAGATTTTTTTATGGCAACAAAGTTTATGAAGATCAAATAGAGAATGGATGAGATGAAATGGAATTTGCATAGATAAAGATATTTAAAAAAATAAAGACACAATAGCAAAATTAAAATTAAAATTTTGCTACTACATTAGGAGTTGCATATGAAAATGACTGAAAGAATAAAAAGAAACAATGAGAGGAAAAGTATTATTCATAACAAAAGAGAATATGGTGACTATATGTGATAATTGATGTCCCTAAGAGGCCAGAACAAATATAACAGCAGCAATATTTAAGTGTCTCTTCATTTAAAATACTAGAAAGAATCATGGCAAGAGGGCTGAATAGAATCATCCAGTGATGATCCCCACAAAAGAATACCAAATTGAACAACTATCTGTGCAGGAAGGCACCTTTGAAATCCTCCCCACCGCACCCCAGTATCAAGTGAGCAATGAAAATATCTGTTTTTTAAACATAATAACAAAAGACACATCGAAGAAGGTACAAAGAAAAATCTTGTATTCTCTACGCCACCTCTCCCCCATCCCAAGGCAGTGCAGCTCAAAGAGATCGTCTGTGCACTTGGGGAAGTGATACGGTTTAACTGTGTCCTCACCCAAATCTCTACTTGAATTGTATCTCCCAGAATTCCCACATGTTGTGAGAGGGACCCAGGGTGAGGTAATTGAGTCATGGGGGCCAGTCTTTCCCGTGCTATTTTCCTGATAGTGAATAAGTGTCATGAGATCTGATGGGTTTATCAGGGATTTCTGCTTATATTTTTTCCTCATTTTCTCTTGCCACCACCATGTGGGAAGTGCTTTTTGCCTCCCTTCATGATTCTGAGGCCTCCCCAGCCATATGGAATTGTAAATCCCATTAAACCTCTTTTTCTTCTCAGTCTCGGGTACGTCTTTATCAGCTGTGTGAAAACGGACTAATACAGTAAATTGGTACCAGTAGATTGGGGCATTGCTGAAACGATCCTTGAAAATGTCAAAGTGACTTTGGAACTGGTAACGGGCAGAGATTGGAAGAGTTTGAAGGGCTCAGAAGAAGACAGGAAAATGTGGGAAAGTTTGGAACTTCCTAGAGTCTTTTCCCAAAATGCTGATAGTGATATGGACAATAAGGTCCAGGCTGAAGTGGTCTCAGATAGAGATGGGGAACTTGTTGGGAACTGGAGCAAAGGTGACTCTTGTTATGTTTTAGCAAAGAGAATGGCAGCATTTTGCCCCTGCCCTAGATATTTGTGGAATTTGATCTTGAGAGAGATGATTTACGGTATTTGTTGGAAAAAATTTCCAAGCAGCAAAGCATTCAAGAGATGACTTGAGATGACTTGGGTGCTGTTAAAGGCATTCAGTTTTATAAAAGAAGCAGAGCAAAAAGGTTTGGAAAATTTGCAGCCTGACTATGCAAAATTTTTAGTAGAGATTTGAGAAAACCAATTTTCGGGGGAGAAATTCAAGCTGGCTGCAGAAATTAGCATAAATAGCAAGAAGCCTAACGTTAATACCCACGACCATGAGGAAAACGTCTCCAGGCCATGTCAGAGACCTTCACGACAGCCCCTCCCATTACAGGCCTGGAGGCCCGGGAGAAAAAAGTTGTTTCATGGGCCGGGTCCAGGGTCCCCATCCTGCGTGCACCATAGGGACTTGGTGTCCTGTGTCCCAGCTGCTCCATCTGTGGCTGAAAGGGGCTAATGTACAGCTCAGTCTGTGGCTTCAGAGGGTGCAAGCCCCAAACTTTGGCAGCTACCATGTGGTCTTGAGTCTGCGGGTGCACAGAAGTCAAGAATTGAGGTTTGGGAGCCTCTGCCTAGATTTCAGAAGACACATGGAAATGCCTGGATGCCCAGGTAGAAGTTTGCAGCAGGGGTGGGTCCCTCATGGAGAATTTCTGCTAAGGCAGTGTGGAAGGAAAATGTGGGGTTGGAGTCCCAACACAGATTCCCTACTGGGGCACTGCCTAGTGGAGCTGTCCTCCAGACTCCAGAATGGTAGGCCCACTGACAGCTTGCACCGTGTGTCTGGAAAAGCCAGAGACACTCAACGCCAGACTGTGAAAGCAGTAGAGAAGGAGGCTGTACCTTGCAAAGCCACAGGGGTGTTACTGCCCAAGACTATGGGAATCTACCTTTTGCATCAGTGTGACCTGGACGTGAGATCTGGAGTCAAAGGACATAATTTTGGAGCTTTAAAATTTGACTGCCCTGCTGTATTTCAGACTTGCATGGGTGCTGTAACTCTTTGTTTTGGCCAATTTCTCCCATTTAAAACAGGTGTATTTACCCAATGCCTGTACCTCCATTGTATCTAGGAAGTAACTAGCTTGCTTTTGATTTTACAGGCTGATTGGTGGAAGGGATTTGCCTTGTCTCAGATGAGTCTTTAGACTATGGACTTTTGGGCTAATGCTGAAATGAATTAAGACTTTGGGGGACTGTTGGGAAGGCACAATTGTTTTGAAATGTGAGGACATGAGATTTAGAGGGGCCAGAGTTGGAATGATATGGTTTGGCTGTGTCCCCACCCAAATCTCAACTTGAATTCTATCTATCTCCCAGGATCCCCACGTTTTGTGGGAGGGACCCAAGGGGAGGTAATTGAATCTTTCCTGTGCCATTGTCATGATAGTGAATAAGTCTCACAAGATCTGATGGGTTGGTCAAGAGTTTCCACTTTTGCTTCTTCCTCATTTTCTCTTGCCACTGCCATGTAAGAAATGCCTTTTGCCTCCCACCATGATTTAAGGCCTTCCCAGCCACGTGGAACTGTAAGTCCAATTAAACCTCTTTTTCTTCCCAGTCTTGGGTATGTCTTTATCTGTTGCATGAAAACGAACTAATACAGGAAGGGAGAGAAAAGTGTGTGGAACTTTGCAATAGAATTCACTACTGCCCTGTCAAAATGAAATAAGACACTGGTCAGAATTCTGTCAGTGCTCATAGAAGGAGCATTTAGACTAGCACTAGTCTAGAGGGGAATCCTCTGTCCAGTATGAAGAAGCCTAGTCCCAGCACACTTCATCACCAGCGGACTATGGTGGCCTGGGGCCCCAAATAAATTTGAGTGCCAGTCAGGCCATAATTACTTCTGTCCTTTGGCAAGCATTGACACAGCACTGGTCTCAGAGACTGTGGGCCTGTAGTGAAAGATATACAGAAAACAGCAAGTAATTAGGGGATGGAGGGGTTGGAGTAAAAGTGTCAAGTTTTGTAGTTTTAGTTTTGGTTTTTTATTCTTATTTGTGATTTGTAGAAAGTTTATTCAAAGAAATAATGACAGATAACTTTCCAAACCCAGAGAAACATATGAATATCCAGGTACAATACGGTCAAAGAATACCAAACAGATTTTACCCAAATAAGCCTACCTCAAGGCATATAATAATCAAACTCTCAAAGGTCAAGGACAAAGAAGGAAATTTAAAAGTTGTAATTAGTTTAAATAATTGGTTATAAAATGTTTTTTGGAAGCCTCATGGTAACCACAAGGAAAAACCTATAAGAGATACACGGAAAATAAAAAGCAAAAAATTAAAGCCTACTACCAGAAGACATCACACACACACACACACACACACACAGACATATATATATATGGATAAACTATATGCTATGCTACAAACAGGTCAAATTTTTTAATGGAAATTATATCAAGCATCTTTTCCAACCAAAATGAGATGAAACTATTAATCAACAAGAAAATCTACTTTAGAAACTGTAAAAATACATGGCTATTAAAAAACATGCTCCTAAATGACCATTGGATCAATAAAGAAATTGAGAAATTTTTAAAGTTTATTTGAAACAAACAAAAAGAGAAATACAACATACCAAGACTTCTAGGTAATACTTCCCAGAAGTATTTAGTATTCCAGAAGTATTTAGTATTACTTCCCAGAAGTAATACTAAAAGGGAAATTCATAGCAATAAATGCCTAGATCAAAATAGTAGAAAAATTTCAAATAAACAACTTTATGATTCATTTTAAAGAACCAGAAAAGCAAGAGAAAACTATACCCATAGTTAGTAGAAGGAAATAAATAATAAACACAAAAGGGAACTAAGCAAAACTGAGACAAAAACATAGGGAAGATAAACAAAATCAATAGTGAAAAGATACAATTGATAAATTTTAGCCAGACTAAGAAAAAAAGAGAAAAAATGCAAATAAAATCAGAGGAAGTAAGAGAAACATTTATAAGTAATACAACAGGACGGTCGCGATGGCTCACGCCTGTAATCCCAGCACTTTGGGAGGCCGAAGCAGGTGGATCATGAGGTCAGGAGATCAAGACCATCCTGGCTAACATGGTGAAACCCCGTCTCTACTAAAAATACAAAAAATTAGCCGGGCGTTGCGGCAGGCGCCTGTAGTCCCAGCTACTCGGGAGGCTGAGGCAGGAGAATGGCGTGAACCTGGGAGGTGGAGCTGGCAGTGAGCCGAGATGACACCACTGCACTCCAGCCTGGGTGACAGAGCGAGACTCCATCTCCAAAAAAAAAAAAACAGATAGAAACAATAAAAGAAAGCTTCTCATCAAAGAAAAACCCAGGCAAGCACTGATGGCTTCATCACTGAATTCTACCAAACATTTAAGGAAAAATTAATACCAATCTTAATCAAATTATTGCAATAAATTGAAGAGGAGAGAATTAAAAACTCATTCTAGGGGCCGAGCATGGTGGCTCACGCCTGTAATCCAAACACTTTGGGAGGCCACAGTGTGCAGATCATGAGGTCAGAAGATCAAGACAAGCCTGACCAATATGGTGAAACCCCATCTCTACTAAAAATACAAAAATTAGCCCGGAGTTCTGGTGTGCACCTGTAGTCCCAGCTATTCGAGAGGCTGAGGCAGAAGAACGGCTTGAACCTGGGAGGCGGAGGTTGCAGTGAGCGAAGATTACGACACTGCCCTCCAGCCTGGGTGACAGAGCAAGACTGTCTCTCAAAAACAGAACAAAACAAAACACCTCATTCTAGGATGCCAGCATTACCCTAATACCAAAACCAGACAAAGACAACAACAACAATAACAAAAACAACAGGGTAAAATCTCTGATGAATATTGTTTCAAAAATTATTTTAAAAAGCCTAGCAGACTGGCAAACTAAATTCAATGAAATATTTAAAAGATCATTTATCATAACCAAGTAAGATTTATCCCTGGGATGCAAGGATGGTTCAAAATACACAAATCAATAAGTGTGATACATCACTTCAGCACAATGGACAAAAACCATATGATAATTTTAATAAACATAAAAAATTAGTAAAATTTGGTTTCTTCATTATAAAAACTATCAACAAACTGGGAATAAAAGGAACATACCTTAACACAATAGAGGTCATACGAAAGAAACCCAAGCTAGTATTATTCTGAACAAGGAAAAACTGAAAGCCTTTTCTCTTAGATCAGGAAGAGGACAAGGATGCTCACTTTCACCACTTTATTCAACATAGTGCTAGAAGTACTAGCCAGAGCAATTAGACAAGAGAAAGAAATAAACAATATCAGAATTGGAAGGAGAGGAGTCAAATTATCCTTGTTTGTGGATGATATGATGTTATAACTAGAAAAAACGATTATTTCAAAAATTATTAGAACTGATAAACAAATTCAGTAAGGTCGGGGATAGAAAATAAACATATAAAAATCAGTAGCATTTCTTTCTTTTTTTAAATTTTACTTGAAGTTCTGGGATACATGTGCTGAATGTGCAGGTTTGTTACATAGGTATACATGTGCCGTGGTGGTTTGCTTCACCTATCAACCCATTATCTAGGTTTTAAGCTCCACATGCATTAGGTGTTTGTTCTAATGCTCTCCCTAACCTTTTCCCAACCCCTTGACAGGCCCCAGTGTGTAATGTTCCCCTCCCTGTGTTCTCATTGTTCAGCTCCCGCTTATGAGTGTGAACAGGCAGCGTTTGGTTTTCTGCTCCTGTGTTAGTTTGCTGAGGATGATGGCTTCCAGCTTCATCCATGTTCCTGTAAACTACATGAACTCATTCTTTTTAATGACTGCACAGTATTCCATGGTGTATATGTGCCACATTTTCTTTCTGTCTGTCTGTCATTAAGGAGCATTTGGTTTGGTTCCAAGTCTTTGCTATTGTAAATAGTGCTGCAACAAACATACGTGTGCATGTGTCTTTATAGTAGAATGATTGTCTATTATTGTTGTATAGAAATGCTTGTGATTTTTGCACATTGATTGTGTATCCTGAGACTTTGCTGAAGTTGTTTATCAGCTTAAGGAGTTTTTGTGCTGAGATGATGAGGTTTTCTAAATACACAATCATGTTGTCTGCAAACAGGACTTAAACTCAGCTGTGGACCAGGTGTATCTAATAGCTATCTATAGAACTTTCCACCTCAAATCAACAGAATATACATTCTTCTCAGCACCACATTGCATTTATCCTAAAATCGACCACATAATTGGAAGTAAAACACTCCTCAGCAAATGCAAAAGAACAGAGATCGTAACAAACAGCCTCTCAGACCACATTGCAATCAAATCAGAACTCAGGATTAAGAAACTCACTCAAAACCTCACATCTACATGGAAACTGAGCAGTCTGCTCCTGAGTGACTACTTGGTAAACAGCAAAATTAAGGCAGAAATAACAAAATTCTTCGAAACCAATGAGAATGAAGTGACAACGTACCAGAATCTCTGGTACACAGTTAAGCATCGTCTAGAGGGAAATTTATAGCACCAAATGCCCACATCAGAAAGCAGGAAAGTTCTAAAATCAACACCCTAACATTACAATTAAAAGAACTAGAGAAGCAAAAGCAAAGAAATTCAAAAGCTAGCAGAAGACAAGAAATAAGTTCTTATTTAGACAGTTCTGCTAAGATCAGAGCAGAACTGAAAGAGATGGAGACACGAATAACCCTTCAAAAAAAATCAGTGAATCCAGGAGCTCGGTTTTTTAAAAGATTAACAAAATAGATACACTGCTAGCCAGACTAATAAAGAAGAAAAGAAAGAAGAATCAAATAGATACAATAAAAAAAAAGATAAAGGGTATATCACCACCGATCCCACAGAAATACAAACCACCATCAGAGAATACTATAAACACCTCTACGCAAATAAACTAGAAAATCTAGAAGAAATGGATACATTTCTGGACACATACACCCCCCAAGACTAAATCAGGAAGAAGAAGAAGTCAAATCCCTGAATAGACCAATAACAAGTTCTGAAATTGAGGCAGTAATTAATAGCCTATGAACCAAAAAGCCCAGGACCAGACAAATTCACAACTGAATCCGTACAAAGAAGAGCTGGTACCATTCCTTCTGAAACTATTCCAAACAACAGAAAAAGAGTAACTCCTCTCTAACTTGTTTTATGAGGCCAGCATCATCCTGATTCCAAAACCTGGCAGAGACACATCAAAAAAAGAAAATTTCTGGCTAATGTTGCTGATGAACATCGATGCAAAAATCCTCAATAAAATACTAGCAAACCGAATCCAGGAGCACATCAAAAAGCTTATCCAACATGATCAAGTCAGCTTCATCTCTGGGATGCAAGGCTGGTTCAACATATGCAAATCAATAAACATAATCCGTCATATAAACAGAACCAACGACAAAAACCACATGATTATCTCAATAGATGCAGAAAAACCCTATGATAAAATTAAACACCTCTTCATGCTAAAAACTCTCAATAAACTTGTATTGATGGAACATATCTCAAAATAGTAGGAGCTGTTTATGACAAACCCATAGGCAATATCATACTGAAAGGGCAAAAGCTGGAAGCATTCCCTTTGAAAACTGGCACAAGACAAGGGTGCCCTCTCTCCCCACTCCTATTCAACATACTATTGGAAGTTCTGGCTGGAGAAATCAGGCAAGAGAAAGAAATAAAGGGTATTCAAATAGGAAGAGAGGAAAAATCAGTAGCATTTCTATATGCCAAGAGCAAACAATCTGAAAAAGAAATCTTTTAGCTTTTATGTAATTCCATTTACAATACCTACTAAGAATATGTAGGAATAACCTTAACTACAGAAGTTAAAGATCTCTACAAAAAAAACTCATAAAACATAGATGATATAAATTGAAGAGGACATAAAAAATGAAAATATATCTCATGTTCATGAAGTGGAAGAATCAATATTTTAAAAATGTCTATACTACCCAAAACAATATACATGTTCAATGTAATTGCTGCTGATGTACCAAAGGTGTTCTACACAGAAATATAACAAAATTCCTAAAATTTATATGAAACCGAAAAGATCCAGAATAACCAAAGCCATCCTGAGCAAAATAATGAACCTGGAATCTTGATATTACATGACTTTATATTATAATGCAAAGCTATAGTAACTAAAGCTGTTGTTACTGGCCCAAAAACAGACACACAGAACAATAGAATTGAAGAGAGAATCCGAAATAAATCCATATATTCACAGTTACATCATTTTCAACAAAGGTGCCAAGAACATACAACGAGGGTAAGGACACTCTATTCAACAAATGGTTTTGGTAAAACAAGATGTTTATATTCAGAAGAATGAAAGTAGACCACCATCTCTCACCATATTAAAAAATCAAATCAAAATGAATTTAAAACTGAAATGTGACACAAGAAACTATAAAATTCCTAGAAGCAAACATTGGGAAAAGGCTTCAGGATCTTAGCATGGACAAAGATTCCTTGACTAAGCATAGTCAATCAAAGCAAAAATAGATGAATGGGATCACATAAAGCTAAAAAGCTTCTGCATGGAAAACTCATACAACTCAATAGCAAAAAATATTCTGATTTAAAAAATGGATAAAACATTTTAATAGGCAATTCTCAAAAGAAGACATACAAATGACCAACAGGTATATTTTTAAAAAATTGCTCATCACTAATAATCAGAGAAATGCAAATTAAAATCACAATGATAAATCATTTCCCCATAGCTAAAATGGCTTTTATTATAAAGACACACAAAAAAACTGATGCTGGTGAGGATGCAGAGAAAAGGGAAGCCTTGTACACTCTTGGTAGGAACGTATATTAGTACAGCTACTATGAAGAACAGAATAGATGTTGTGCAAAAAACTAAAAATAGAAGTAACATATGATTCAGCAATCTCACTGCTGGGTATATTTCCGAAAGGTACTAAATCAGTATATTGATGAGACATCTGTATTCCCATGTTTATTACAGCAATATTCATAATAGCTAAGATATGAAATAAAAGTATGTGTCCATCAATGATGACTGAATAAAGAAAATATGGTACATATAAACAATAGAATATTCATGATTTTATTAGAATGAAATTATATCATTTGCAACAACATGAATGGAACTGGGAGACATTACCTTAAATAAAGTAAGCCAAGCATAGAAAAACAAGTATCATATGTTCTCATTCATGTGTGGTAGATAAAGAATTGATCTCATGATAGTACATGGTAGAATGGTGGTTAACAGAAGCACAGAAGGATAATGGGGAGGAAGGGATAAAGAGGGTTTGATTAATGGGTACAAAAATACACAATTAGTGTATAGCGAGATAGATGAGTAGGTAGATGAAAAATTGAAACTAATCAATTGTACGTTTCAAAATAGCTAGAGGAGTGAATTTAGAATGTTTCTCACACAAATAAATTCCAAAAATGTAAGGTGATGGCTATCTCAATTACTCTGACTTGACCATTATACCTTTTATGCTTGTCTCTAAATACCACATGGATCCCATAAGTATAAACAACTATTATGCACCTTTATATATAAAAAATTTAAAAACCCAATAAATGTTTTTAATATTCCTGACCTAAATTTTGTGTTTGTTTTCAGCTCATTCTGTTATATTTTACTGTGTTCCCAATCCTATTTGATAGAGGCCAGGTTATTTTGCTTTCTTCTAATGATAAGTGTAAACTTTTCCAATGTTTCTGTCTAAAGTATTTAGTAGACAATTTTCCAAGGCTTGCTTAATTTCTTAATTTCTAAATCTTCAATATTGATGACATTTTAATTCAATTTATAATTTTTCCATACATATTACGTTTTTGCTTATTTATTGCTTATTTTGTAATGTATAAACTTCTACTAAGAGCTAATTAACAGAAAATAAGATCCCACATCTTGCCTTGAAACTGCCCAGTGTACATATTCAGTACCTGTGTGCATGTGTTTGTGTGTATGTGTATATTTAATAACTTTTTGTATCTACCTTACCTTATAAACATTTTTCTTGGGAATAATTTATTTTATATTTAATAAATAACATTTTTCATATTTATGGGTCATATGTGACATTTTGATACAAGCATACAATGCGTAATGATAAGGTAATTGGGATACTGATCATCTTAAACATTTGTCATATCTTTGTATTAGCAGCATTTCAGTTTAACTCTTTTAATTATTTTGAAATACACAATATTGTTAACTCTAGTTGCCCTGTTGTGCTATTTAACACTATATCTTATTTCTTCTAACCATAATTTTGTACTCATTAACTAACCCCTCTCTATTCCCCTCTCCACATTACGGGAAGAATACATTTTATGAAACAACTTTTGGTATATATAAAAATAATCAGATACGGATTATTTATTTAGCTTATTAAAATGATAAAGTATATATATCCAAATGCTAATTCATCCTTCCATTCAAATTTCTTCAGTCATGAATTTTTTCTTCATCATTCACACCACAAGACTGATTTTGTAATTGTGTACTTTGAATGCTTTAGTAGATATCTTCATTTATTTGATTATTTATAATACTTTACCTTTAATTTTTTCTGCCTTCATTCTTACCAAGAAGGTATTGGCATATACTATCTATTTCTGACACACCTCTCCATAGTTCACCAACTTTTCACACCCAAGGAATTAGTGAGGCTTAAGTATATTTGAATTTTTGAAAAGAGGGAGATGATTTGTGTACCTATCATGGATGTTCCTCTTTAATCCAGACAAATGTAGTGCATTTGTCTGAAATTCCTTTAGATTATAGGTTTTTAATAGTTTATTTCCTTAATATATATGGTGGATGCAAATTTCCTGTACTTGTAAATGTCTCAGCTTATTTCCTTCATAATTGTGTATGCCTGCGTTTACAATGGGAGGAACAACGGGCAAAGTACTGGACATCAAATGAGTGCCTCTCATCAGCTTTTACTTCAGGAAATCATTGTTCATTTTTGTGATAATGGAATTTTGACTCTTTTACTTAGTAAATTACATCTATTAAACTTATATCTGTTACTTTAAAAATGTGTTAGTTTTACTCTAATTCTAGTCTTATGTTTCAGTGTTTCAAAAACCCAGAGCTAAATAGCAGAAAGGTTTCGAAAATTTCCTCATTTCAATTGTTTAATACCTGCATAAGATTATCCAATAGTTTTGTACCTATGGTCAAACATTGCAGAGAATCATCTGACAAAAATATCCTTCTTAGACTGACAAAATGCTTGTATCTTTCCTTTTAATTCACACATTTTACTACCTGAGTTAAAATGTTAGCCTCACAGTTATGTGACCTTTGACAAGTTATTTAACCTCTCAGTGTCTTTGTTTGTTTTCATTTTCAAAGTGTGATACGAATCGTTTCTATTGCCTAGGATTTCTATTAAGAGTAAATGAGATGAAAAATCTGAAACTCTCAGAAAATGTGGCACATAGTAAGCTGTTAAATAATATCAGTTGTTTATTGTTTGACCTTTAGTTAGAGTATTACAAACCCAACCTCATGAGTTAGCACGCTAATTATGAGGGATTTTTGTGTGGTAAATATTTACAGGCCTGTATGTCTGTCACTGCACCCACTTCTCCCACATTGTTCTTAAATACAATTTCTTTATCCATATAGAAAATGTTTTTCTATGCTCCCACATGCCAGTTCCTTTCCCTGGATTTTAAGAGTGGGGCCGAATGAGGTGAGACAATCCTTTTCCCAGATATCAAAGTTGTAAGATGTAAAGATTGGAGGACTTTAAAGGCCTGGTTTTTTAGCCATGTCTAGAATGGAAAAGGTAACCATCATGCAGAGAAAAAGCAAAGTCTAGAGAATGTGGGTCTTAATAGAGTTTGCACCTCTAGTCCATGTGTTCCTGAGGTTTAGCACAATCCTGTCCTTTTTTCAGCTTGGTGATTCCGTAAACTATTCCGTAACTCTTCAACTTAGGTTTATCTTAACTAACAAAAGTGGTCCATTTTTTTTCTGTTGTTCTTAAGTAATCATAGTATTCTTTTCTAGTTTTACACTGCTGTTGAATTTGTCTTCATTCGTCTTGGGGACCAATGATCGATATAGCCTCTTCTCCAAGTAACTCTGCTTAAGCCAAAAGAGGAAGATTCACAGGTGCTTTAAGAACAGAGTGGTATCTCTAGATAATTTCAGCCATGGGAGTTGATTGTCTATTTTCTCTTTCTCCTCTGTAGGTTTTTGAGGAAACTAAACTTGATTTTATCTGCTTTGTGAAGAAACACGTTCTTTCAGCTTCATTCCTGTGCAGCTCTCCTTAACTCTCTGGAACAATGACATTTAACTAGCTTTCATTCCTTCAGTCTCAGACAGACCTCTAACTACCAAAACTAAACTTTCTAAATGACCTTCTAATTGTATCTGCCTTCACCTAATTGCCCAGGCTCTTTTACTACCACTCCCTTCCTCACACATCATGGAACATCCAAATTAAATTGCCTTGAGGACCATGGATTTGTCAGGTTCCCTTTCCCTATTTGTTGAAAATAATGTTAATATTTATGTGATAAATATATTTCAATTATTTATATGCTTGGTGTTAGTATCTTGATTAGTAAATATTTTAATTATTTATATGTTTGGTATTAGTATGGATAATATTCCATATTTTGCCTTACATATTTTTACAAAGCTCACCTATTTCTTGCTCCATATGGATTTTACCTAGTGTACTTGCCAAAGATCAATACAAAGTTCTCACTGGGAAATTTTCTCTTAGTTTTTTCCAACGAAAAGAAATTCTGAGGAAAGTTGAGACTAGATCTGGGTACTTCTTTCTAACATGTTTAGGCACGTTCAGGGGAACTCAAAGCTGGCCTTATTTTTAATAATTTTTTTCTTGTAAGCAAGTAGCAATTTTATTGTACTCCACAACTTTCCAACACTTATTTTGTTTTTCTTGAGTTTTTAATTTTGTAATCTCCTTGGGCTTATTAGTAACCTATGGAAAATTTTCTCATTATTTCATTTTGATAAATGAAGAATATATTGAACTCCTTTTATAGTTTATATCATAAATTGTATAATTTTTTTTCTAATTTTTCCCATGGTTACCATATACCTACTAAAATTTACATATAAGGTTTTTCTCTGGACTTTGTTTTTTTTTCCAGTGATAATTGACAGGATTATTTGAATCAAACTGCCAAAAAAAAAAAAAAAGGAAAAATTCTAGATAAAATATTAAAAACAGTTCTAAACAGCATTGCATAGTTAAACTGATGATAGAAAGAGTCTAGGCCAAAACAAGAGGATAAACTTACCTAGAGAGATAAGTATTAAATCAAAGAAATAAAGTATCTTTTGTCTTGAGGGCATTTACCCATAGTTTACATCAAGGTTCAAAGTGAGACAAAAATTCAACATCTTAGGAAGCCCTCTTGACAATAACCTAGAAATAAAGTGACCACTCTTTTTTAAACATGAGCAAGAATTAGATACTCTTATTCTCCCAAACTTAAAATTACTAGAAGCTGAGCAAAACAGGTGAAATAAAATAAACAAAGAACCTATGGCACTACAGATGAATGTACTAAATGTTCCATTTAGTGATACTCATGCTTATATTGGAAAAAAAAATACCAACAACATGTTACTTACAAGAGACAAATATAAAATACAAAATACAAAATGAGTAAAAGTAATGGGATTAAAAATGATATATTATGCAAACTGTATTTTCAAGCGCTCACAGAAAATTTACCCCAAATTGAATACATATATAAGGATAGGGAATAAATGGAACCCATATACCATTTTGGTGAATAGTGCCAGTCAATTTTGCCACTTTGGAAAATAGACTGGCATTATCAAGTATATTTGAAGTTGCACATACCCTATGGCCCAATAATTATATTCATAATATTAATAAGTATATATGCTTTTAAAATTCACTCACATGTGGATTTGGATGCCTATATGAGAAAATTTACAGCAGCAATAAAATAACCAGAAACTTTAAACAACTCAAACATTCATCAACAGTACAATGAGAAAAACAAATTATGGAATATTCATACAATGAAATATTAAGACAATTAAAATGAACAAACTGCAAGTTAAATGATCATATTTTACAAACAAAAGTGAGACAAACAAAAGCTAAAAACCAAAAATAGTAAGATTTAATTATGTTTATATAAAACTGAAAAGCAGAGAAAACCAAAGTAGGAGTCAGAAACTATGGGCCCTGAATCAAATCTGGCCTTACATCTGTTTCTGTAAGTTGTTGTACGGTGTACAGATACATTCATACTTTTGCCTATCATTCTATGGCTATTTTTGTACTGCAATGGCAGTGCCTAGTAGCTGTTACAGAGACCTATGACCTGCAATGACTAAAATATTTACTATCTGACATTTATGGAAAATGTCATTCTGGGAACTAAACTATCATTTAGGAATGAAAATGTAAGTACTGATACATAAGATAAAACAACATGGAAATAATGATAAGTTTAATTTTTCCTTCTGGCATTTTGTAAAAAAAAGTTTGGGATCACAAAAGGACACATAGACAGGCTGGGCTCAGTGGCTTACGCCTGTAGTCACAGCATTTTGGGAGTCTGAGGTGGGCAGATCACTTTAGGCCAGAAGTTCCACACTAGCCTGGCCAACATGGCGAAACCCCGTCTCTACTAAAAATACAAAAATTAGCAGGACGTGGTGGCGTACACCCGTAATCCCAGCTACATGGTGGCTGAAGCATGAGAATCGCTTGCACCAGGGAGGCGGATGTTGCGGTGAGCCAAGATTGCGCCACTTCACTCCAGCCTGGAAGACAGAGTGAGACTCTGTCTCAAAAAAAAAAAAAAAAGGGGACACACAGCGGCTCTGCATTGCTGCCAATGTTCTATTTCTGAACCTATGTTACAGGTACAAGCACATGAACAGATTGTTACATGCACATTCATTTTCAAACATCTATCAAATTATGTGTATATTTTATGCATTGTTGGTAATTCTTTACAATTAATATCTTTAAAATATTTCAAACCAAAACAAAAACATATATCTATATTATATATATATATATACATATATAAAACATACCTAGGCTATATATATATATATATATATATATATATATACACACTAGCTAGCATACATACTAACATATATATATACTAGCATATATATGTGTGTGTGTGTATATATATACACATATATACTACTATATATGTTAGCATATTTAACAATATGACAATATGCGCTAGGGCTTTTCCTAAATAATAACCCTGAATTTCATTTGATTGTTACTTATTTTCCTGCCCTAATTCTGTAACTTCCACATTCTTCTTTCCAATAGGCAAGTAAAGAGATACATAGCCGTGGCTCACGCCTGTAATCCCAGCACTTTGGGAGGCCGAGGCGGGTGGATCACGAGGTCAGGAGATCGAGACCATCCTGGCTAACACGGTGAAACCTC
Source organism: Homo sapiens (assembly GCF_000001405.40). Classification (NCBI taxonomy): domain Eukaryota; kingdom Metazoa; phylum Chordata; class Mammalia; order Primates; family Hominidae; genus Homo; species Homo sapiens. Next base: position 28,567 of record NW_009646204.1, on the reverse strand, counting down.
GTCTCTAGTAAAAATACAAAAAAATTCGCCAGGCTTGGTGGCCGAAGCCTGTAGTCCCAGCTACTCGGGAGGCTGAGGCAGGAGAATGGCGTGAACCCGGGAGGTGGAGCTTGCAGTGAGCCGAGATGGCACCACTGCACTCCAGCCTGGGCGGCAGAGTGAGACTCCGTCTCAAAAAAAAAAAAAAAAAAAAAAAGAAATAAAAAAAAAGAAAATAAAAAAAAAATAAAAGAACTACATAGCCACCAATTAGTGCCTTTAACTTATCATTGAATAAAGCATGTATCGGACAGAAATTGGATCCTCTGCAATCTATTATAAATATTTATGTTAAGTAAAATTTCCTGAGATGGTAAGCCACCTTTTGTTCATTTTGTTATCCTGTACTCTGCCTAGAAAACATAAATAAATTTTTGTTGAACTAGTGAAGCAAGCATCAGTCATTTATTTCTAATCTAAAAAGCTAGGTTTCTAAATGCAGATCAGACATTTGTATCCAGGCAGTTCTATGTTCCTTTTTCTCATTTGCAAAATAGAGATAAAGCTAACTACATTTACAAAGATATTTATTAATAAACATTGTAACACAGTCTATTAGACGTGTATGCAAGCAGGCCGACTTTTAAAATCTTTCCAGAATTAAGGTTTTTTTTTTTTTTTTTCATTTTATAAACATTTTAATTGAGCCACTAGCATTGCATTAGAAAGACATGCTGGGTTGACATAAAGCTGGTTCCAAGTTTGCAGTGGATTGAAGATCGGAAGTTTTGTGGGAATGCTAACGTGCTGGTTCAGGGCTCCAAAACTTACATTTCTCCAGATGGAGCGTTGTTAATATTCTGGATTTGTGGCACTGCACTATTTTGAAACAAATAAAATGAAGCAGTAAAAAGTAAGTTTGTTTGCCATATGGCTGTTTATTTCTCTGTGTAGAGCCTAACTGTGAAATATATGGCTCCTCAATATGGGACAGCCACATATTCACACCGGTGCACCTGCTTTTAGCATGAGGAATCCTTCTTTTGAGGACAATAAATTCATGGTATCATGATTTGAAGAATTTTTCTCATCATTTATGAGACTGTGGAGAGCGGTCTGGCTTATAAGACATGGAAAATGAGATTATACATCGGTAGGTTTTACCCTTTAAAATATATGTATTATTTAAAAATGCAAAAAAGCTGTTTTAGGTAAGTAAAAGAATGTGATAGATAGAAATGTGACTGTTAATACTGTGGGAGAGGCTTGTGTTCCAATTCTACCTGTGACAGGGATTTCTAATGTAGCCCTGAGCAAGGAATGACATTTCTCTACCTAATCTATTCTACCTTTATAATTGGAATTTAAATAATAGAATTACAGAGTTATAGATTTCTCAAAATTTGATCTAGGTTTGCCTCCAGGAAAAATAAAATGAGGATACCAAAAGAAGTATTTTCTTCCCTGAAAAGAAACAACTTCTGTTCCTAATCAGTACAGTGATGTTTTCAGGGTCAGGGGTCAACCTGTTCTTTAGAACTTGCTTTCTCTTGTCCTACTTGAAAGTCGAGGAGAGAGTGACCTCTTACAAACCTACAGAGGATTTTAAAGTGCTGCTTTCAGGCCATAATAAGAGGCAAAGAGATTCTGCCAGGATAAATACTTTGCTTAGGTTTGGACCCAACACTCTCAGACAGTCACATACCTACAAACTCTTCTCAGATACAACTGTTTACATTTGTAAATGTGCCTTTCAATATCTTACTTAAATCTTCCATCCTTTCTTTTATAAAAATGTCTGCTTTATTGCATAAATTTTGCAATCCTTTTATAATATTTCAACCTTAATACCTTTAAAACTTGAAAGTAGAAACAACTCATCAACAAGTATTAATTACTTGTATACATAATAGAAATCCTTGAAACATTAAAATACTTGTTTAATCTAAAAAGTTAAACACCAAGCATATAGTAAGTATTGTTTATTACTTAATAGGAAAGTATGGTTAATATTTTAGAATATTACAATCTCTTAGTCTAGTATAGAAATAGGCTCAGGTGATTCTCCTGCTTCAGCCTCCCAAGTAGGTGGGACTATAGGTATGCACCACACCTGGCTAATTTTTGTATTTTTAGTAGAGGCAGTGTTTTGCTCTGTTGGCCAGGCTGGTTGAACTCCTGACCTCAGGTGATCCACCCGCCTCTGCCTCCCAGGGTGGTGGGATTGCAGGTGTGACCCACAGCACCTGGCCAGTGTTTTTTTTAAATATTCTCTGACAGTCTCGTTGCCGTGTCAATTAGGTCAGTGCCTTTAAAAATATGTATATGTACGTCTCAAAAATAAAGTAAAATAGTAAGTATTAAAAAAGTAATAGAAACATAAGAAATAGAACTAATGTATGAAAAAACTGTATTCTAAAAAGAATACACTGTTGTAAAAAATAAGATCAATTTTCTTTTTTTATGTAAGAATATAAATTCTTATAAAATTCTTGTATAAATTCTTATATAAATTTATAATATAAATTACAATATTTCCAATACTTGTCAGCTTCCATGCTTCACCTTAATCAAACTGTTTCACCAAAAACTACATCAATGTGCCTATCTCTTGATGTTTTTGGATTTTATTGTCATATAAGCGTCTTATTAAAGCATCTTAGGGTATGTGCTGCTTCCTGCTCAACAAGTCTGAGTAGCATGAGCTCCTTAAAAGAGTAAATCAGCTTGAAATTCTGTGAGGTTGTGCATTAGTATCCTCGAGCTGAGATAACAAAGTACCACAAAATAGTGGCTTAAAACAATGGAAATTTATTGCCTCACACGTTTCAAAGCTAGAAGTCACGATGTTGGTAGAGGGTAGGATTGGTTCCTTACAAGGGCACCAAGGGAAAATCTAGACCATGCCTTTTTTTTCTAGCTTCTGGTATTAGCTGGCACTCCTTGGGATTTCTGGGCTTATAAATGCATCACATCTCTGCCTCCATCTTCACATCAAGTTCTGCCTGTGACTCTGTCTTCACATGGCTGTCTTCTTACAGGGACACCAGTCATATTGGCCGAGGACCACTTGACTTCGGTATAACCTCATTAACTAATTAACTATATTAATATAACTAATTAACTAATTAATATAACTAATTAACCTGCAATGATCTTATTTCCAAATAATATCACATTCTGTTGAACTGAGAACTGGGACTTCAACATATATTTTTCCAAGACATAATTCAACCCATAATAGATGTATATTCAGATATATTTAGTTAATATTGTCAGAAAGCACGAATTCTGATAAAGCATGAATGTATGTCATTGAAGGTATATTAATGGCCCTACTTAACAATTGGTTTTTAAAAATTTGCTTAATAGAGAAATGAATTTGCTCCAATATATCAATGACCTCCAGATTTCAGTTTACGTTGATTTTCATTGTTAAAGATCTATTTGGTTTTGCACCTCTGAACAACAGCTTACATTATAATATTATTTGAATCCATATTCCTGCATCTTTCAAGTCTTTTTTAATGGTACAAGTTGGTGCAATTATCTCAAGAATGTGACACATACGGTTTGCTATTTGATAATAAGATGCTGTGATAAGAATTTACCCTTAGTTTTTCTTGCCATCTACAGCCCTGTCAGGTCGGGGGACCAATATGAGGATTCTGCAGGTTTCCAAATAACAATGTCAATGAGGCATTAATGAACTGAAAACATATATATATATATATATATATATATATATATATATATATATATATATGGTGGTTTGAGAATTTACTGGGCCTACTCCAAGATTCACCTGGGCCAAAATTCTACTTAGCACCTCATCACCATAAGCCCTCTGGTAACCTATAAATAATCAAAGGAAGACTTGCAGCATATAACCTATATACCCTTTTATCAAGAGAACTGAGTGCTCATTTCAATCACAGAAATCTCAGGTTGCCAAGCAATGTGAGGAATCAAAGTTTGTATCCTGTTTGCAAGCTCATAATTTAAATTGCTAAAGTTTCATGGATGTTGGCAAAAGACAAGAGACTCCTGAATCAGGGAAAAATAATTTTATTACTCAAAGACAGGCAGAAAACATAAGCTTAATATCTGCATTGGTTTCCCTTGCCCACAGTTCCCACAGAGCATTGCAGAGCCACCAACATAGATGCTTTGCCTGCAGTGGGTTTGCATCTCAACTAAAAAACACCAAACTTAAAATACCCCAATCTTTCACAATGGGTTGCAAGCAAACCTGCCCAACCTTTGCCCCAGAAAAAGACATTATCTTTATTATGGGGAAAAATATCTCCGTCTGTCCTAGAGGAGACTTTACTTATCTTTCAGTGTTGCTTGTCTTATAAACATCTTAATAAAGATCCAAAACAAAAGTTGTCTATGTCTCTGCTCAAAAGACTTGCCAAAAAATGAGGGACCCCATGGAGAACTGTATTTCAACACAGTATGTGTTGAATTGTATTGTATTGAACCAATGTATGAATTGGTTTAGACCTGGAAAATGAGTGACAGATAATTACTTCCAATTGTAGTTACCCCAGTGGGATTTTTGCTAACCAGACTAAAAAATTTTCCCGTAATATAGATAAGTAATTTTTTAAGCTGATGGTACTCCCAGATTAGTGTGTTTCTCAATGTATTTGTAAGGAAGAGTCCTCTGGGCCCTCTGGTTAGCAAAGTTAGTGGAAAGTGGTAGTGGGAGAGAATGAATGGGTACAACTTAATAACTCTAAATAGCATTCTTATTGTCTTAGTCTTTGGATTTTTTTTTTTCATAATGGCAGAGAAGTTCTGGCATTTTGATCTAATTGACTATAGGCTACCATTGAATCTACATTTTTATTCAGATGGTTAGAGCCACTTTCCATTATCTGAGCAAGCACATTAAAAGCAAAACTCTGGTAAGTGCGTTTTTATGAACATATTAAGCCTGACAATTCTTAAATCAGCCTTTACACTTCTTGTATTCCTGCTTATGAACGTTAGCAAGATTTTGCAACATTTTTGACATCTAAGACATCTTAAAGATCTGCTAGACATGAGACTATCTCACTCAATGAATCTAGAAGCAACAAGGAATACTGGGAATGGATCCTGAGACGATGCATCTCCTTGCTAGGCAATTCCTGCATTGAAGGTTTGAGGATTCAACGTTCTCAGATTTCTCTAAATCTGGCCTAAGTTTGCCAGCTCAAATCTTAGGTTCCCTCTCCTTTCCAATTAATGCCCTAATCTTAACATTTGGTCAGACTGTGAATTTGACTTGCAAGTTGCTCACACTACCCATTAGCTTAATTTTTGTTTTGTTCTTCAGCAATGCATGATCAGATATTTTTAAAAAGAAAAAAATTAGAGATTTTTTAAAAGATATAGGCACTGTGGTTCTCTATTCTTTCCTCGAAAGAGAAGTTTATGCCCCTGTGCTCATAATATACTTTTGGTAAACTTTTCCCAGTAAGATGGTACAACATCCCATTAATCTTGTCTTCATTGTTAATTGACTTGTAGGTCAAATTTTAAATAGATGCAAGTCAATGCAAGGGATATTTTTAACAAAGTTAATACAATTGCTGAGAACACTAATGTGGAATGAGAGGAGATGTAACTGTAGCTTGATACATTGGCCGAGCAAAGGAATAATCAGTAGCTTCCTTCTTCTCGATCTCCAACCTCCTCTTAGTGCCAGCTAGTGGCTGAAACTAGCTTGAAATACTTCGCAAGGGAACAGAAATATGCTTGATTGCAATGCAAAGTGGAATGTGGCAGATAGAATAGTATTCCTACCATACCCCAAAGAGGTTCACATACTAAACTCCAGAACTTGTGAATATGTTATGTTTAATAGCAAAGGAGAATTAAGATTGCAGATGAAATTAACATTTGTAATCAGCTGTCTTTAAAATAAGAAAAGTATCTTGGATCATATGTAGGGCTCAATATAATCACCAGATTTCTTCAGATGTGGAAGAGTCATGCAGAAGACTTAGAGACAGAGAAGATACAAGGAAAGAAACAAGTTTGAATTGAGCAAGTAGAGGTTCAACTCACTGTTGCTGGCTTTGAAGATGGAAGGAGGCCCACCAGGGCTAGGGATACAGACAGCCTCTAGAAGCTGGAAAAGTCGAGGAAACATAATCTCTCCTAGAGTGTCCAGAGGGAGCGTAGCCCTACAAACACATTGATTTTAGCCCAGTGTGATGACTATTTTAGAACAGTAAACTCCAAAATTGCAAGATAACAAATTTATTTGTATTTTAAGCCACTAAATTTGTGGTAATCTGTTATAGTGACAATAGAAAACTAATGCAAAGAGCAAGTAAAGGTATAGTATATGAGAACCGACAGGCAAATAACCCACACATCTAATACTTTTAATTCTTAGAGTATCAACTCACAATATCTGTGCACTGTGAAAGAAGTGTCTTTCTGTGTATGAACAGTAGGCTATGCATAAACCCTACTGGGACCAACCCCCTTTTAATCCACTCAATTATATCACTGTAAAACTTTATTAATAAATCTGATTTTAATTATTATTATTATACTTTAAGTTTTAGGGTACATGTGCACAATGTGCAGGTTAGTTACGTATGTATACATGTGCCATACTGGTGTGCTGCACCCATTAACTCGTCATTTAGCATTAGGTATATCACCTAAAGCTATCCCTCCCTCCTCCCCCGACCCCACAACAGTCCCCAGAGTGTGATGTTCCCCTTCCTGTGTCCATGTGTTCTCATTGTTCAATTTCCACCTATGAGTGAGAATATGTGGTGTTTGGTTTTTTGTTCTTGAGATAGTTTACTGAGAATGATGATTTCCAATATCATCCATGTCCCTACAAAGGACATGAACTCATCCTTTTTTATGGCTGCATAGTATTCCATGGTGTATATGTTCCACATTTTCTTAATCCAGTCTATCATTGTTGGACATTTGGGTTGGTTCCAAGTCTTTGCTATTGTGAATAGTGCCACAATAAACATACATGTGCATGTGTCTTTATAGCAGCACGATTTATAGTCCTTTGGGTATATACCCAGTAATGGGATGGCTGGGTCAAATGGTATTTCTAGTTCTAGATCCCTGAGGAATCACCACACTGACGTCCACAATGGTTGAACTAGTTTACAGTCCCACCAACAGTGTAAAAGTGTTCCTATTTCTCCACATCCTCTCCAGCACCTGTTGTTTCCTGACTTTTTAATGATCACCATTCTAACTGGTGTGAGATGGTATCTCATTGTGGTTTTGATTTGCATTTCTCTGATGGCCAGTGATGATGAGCATTTTTTCATGTGTTTTTTGGCTGCATAAATGTCTTTTTTTGAGAAGTGTCTGTTCATATCCTTCACCCACTTTTTGATGGGGTTGTTTTTTTCTTGTAAATTTGTTTGAGTTCATTGTAGATTCTGGATATTAGCCCTTTGTCAGATGAGTAGGTTGCAAAAATTTTCTCCCATTCTGTAGGTTGCCTGTTCACTCTGATGGTAGTTTCTTTCGCTGTGCAGAAGCTCTTTAGTTTAATTAGATCCCATTTGTCAACTTTGGCTTTTGTTGCCATTGCTTTTGGTGTTTTAGACATAAAGTCCTTGCCCATGCCTATGTCCTGAATGGTATTGCCTAGGTTTTCTTCTAGGGTTTTTATGATTTTAGGTCTAACGTTTAAGTCTTTAATCCATCTTGAATTAATTTTTGTATAAGGTGTAAGGAAGGGATCCAGTTTCAGCTTTCTACATATGGCGAGCCTGTTTTCCCAGAACCATTTATTAAATAGGGAATCCTTTCCCCATTGCTTGTTTTTCTCAGGTTTGTCAGAGATCAGATAGTTGTAGATATGCAGCGTTATTTCTGAGGGCTCTGTTCTGTTCCATTGATCTATATCTCTGTTTTCGTACCAGTACCATGCTGTTTTGGTTACTGTAGTGTTGTAGTATAGTTTGAAGTCAGGTAGTGTGATGCCTCCAGCTTTGTACTTTTGGCTTAGGACTGACTTGGAGATGGGAGCTCTTTTTTGGTTCCATATGAACTTTAAAGTAGTTTTTCCAATTCTGTGAAGAAAGTCATTGGTAGCTTGATGGGGATGACATTGAATCTATAAATTACCTTGGGCAGTATGGCCATTTTCACGATATTGATTCTTCCTACCCATGAGCATGGAATGTTCTTCCATTTGTTTGTCTCCTCTTTTATTTCATTGAGCAGTGGTTTGTAGTTCTCCTTGAAGAGGTCCTTCACATCCCTTATAAGTTGAATTCCTAGGTATTTTATTCTCTTTGAAGCAGTTGTGAATGGGAGTTCACTCATGATTTGGCTCTCTGTTTGTCTGTTGTTGCTGTATAAGAATGCTTGTGATTTTTGTACATTGATTTTGTATCCTGAGACTTTGCTGAAGTTGTCTATCAGCTTAAGGAGATTTTGGGCTGAGACAATGGGGTTTTCTGGAAATACAATCATGTCATCTGCAAACAGGGACAGTTTGACTTCCTGTTTTCCTAATTGAATACCCTTTATTTCCTTCTCCTGCCTGATTGCCCTGGCCAGAACTTCCAACACTATGTTGAATAGGAGTGGTGAGAGAGGGCATCCCTGTCTTGTGCCAGTTTTCAAAGGGAATGCTTCCAGTTTTTGCCCATTCAGTATGATATTGGCTGTGAGTTTGTCATAGATAGCTCTTATTATTTTGAGATACATCCCATCAATACCTAATTTATTGAGAGTTTTTAGCATGAAGGGCTGTTGAATTTTGTCAAAGGCCTTTTCTGTATCTATTGAGATAATCTTGTGGTTTTTGTCTTTGGTTCTGTTTATACGCTGGATTACATTTATTGATTTGCATATATTGAAACAGCCTTGCATCCCAGGGATGAAGCCCGACACAACCAAAAAATAGAATTTTAGACCAGTATCCTTGATGAACACTGATGCAAAAATCCTTAATAAAATGGATTTATTTTTTAAAAGCAATACTTTAAAACAATTTATGTGGAATGATTCATACATATGTATTTTATAAAACTGCTTCTGAGTAACTTTTCATTAAGAAAATAAGGGCTACTCTCAAAATCATTATCAGAATCAATTATGGAAAGAGTACAGTGTGATAAGCAAGGAACAATTGTAGAGAAAACTCAGCTGAGGCAGCTGAATAATTTGGAGATAGGATCAAGTTAAGGGTCCAATTTGGTTCCTATAGATTAGGAAATGTACAGATTTTTTTTTTTTTTTTAGACGGAGTTTCCTCTTATTGCCCAGGCTGGAGTGTAATGGCGTGATCGGCTCACTGGAAGCTCACCGCGTGATTTCGGCTCCCAAGTTCATGCGATTCTTCTGCCTCAGCCTCCCAAGTAGCTTGGATTACAGTCCTGCGCCACCTCACCCAGCTAATTTTGTATTTTTAGTAGAGATGGGGTTTCTCCATGTTGGCCAAGCTGGTCTCAAACTCCCTACCTCAGGTAATCCGCCCGCCTGGGCCTCCCAAAGTGCTGGGGTTACAGGCGTGAACCATCACGCCGGGCCTGTATAGCTATTTTATACTGAGATGGGTTAGCTTAGAACATAGGCCATGAAACCAACCTGCAACATATGGAGAGGATTCAGGACCCAGTTGAATGGACACTGTCATCATTCGCTTCAAAGGTACAATTTGTGCAGGAGAAGGCTGAAGCCAATTGGATGCTAAATATATGTTAAAAGTTATGTGCTCAGGGTAAATGGACCAATGTCAGGTTGTAGATATCTAAGCCGGAGAACACAGGCAGAAGTGCAGCACTCTTACACAAGCTCAGATAGACTTTCTTATTTAGAGGAAGCTAAGCACAAAACCAACCAACCGTCCAAATAAACAAACTAAAAAGGCAGTAGTAGGAAACGAAACACAGAGTAGAAAACTAGACAACCAGACACAGCTTTTCAGGATCCCAAGAAATTAAGTGCTTTCTGTAATCAGCCCGGCTAGAATGATTGCTTTTTCTTTTTTTTTTAAAATTATTATTATACTTTAAGTTTTAGGGTACATGTGCACAATGTGCAGGTTAGTTACATATGTATACATGTGCCATGCTGGTGCGCTGCACCCACTAACTCGTCATCTAGCATTAGGTATATCTCCCAGTGCTATCCCTCCCCCCTCCCTCCACCCCACAGCAGTCCCCAGAGTGTGATGTTCCCCTTCCTGTGTCCATGTGTTCTCATTGTTCAGTTCCCACCTATGAGTGAGAATATGCAGTGTTTGGTTTTTTGTTCTTGCGATAGTTTACTGAGAATGATGATTTCCAGTATCATCCATGTCCCTACAAAGGACGTGAACTCATCATTTTTTATGGCTTTTTCTTCCTGCTTTTAAGCAGTCTTGTTGTTGATAAAATGAGTTCACAGTGCAGGCTGTTTCTCAGAGCAAGGTAGGTACAAATATTTGTTGTAGAGAAACAAATCTCTTAATCTGGGAAGTAATTGGAGTATTAACAAGTATTTATTTTTCTTATTCCTGTAGTTAACAGATATTTAAAAATTGATGACACTATAGTCATTTTGCTACACACTAAAAATTTAAATATAGCTCCCCTCTTCAAGAAATGTATTGTTGGTTAATTTAGGCATCTAGATTAGTTTAAGCATCCTATAAATTGATTGTGTCTTTCATGGACCTAAATTCTGACTTGTATTCCTCATAGTTAAGTTTATTTAATTCTTACACTCTGTATAAAAGTCAAACAGCTGATCATTACTACCCAGACCATGTTCATGAAATACGGGAGAGGGTTTAAATTTCTCTCAAAACTATTCATCACCAGACATATTTTCTATTCTCATTTTTTATTTTCTTTCTTTTTAATGAACCATCAATATTTTCCATGTCTCAGTTGAGTTTTGGAACTTAAAATTAGATGTAAAGAAAACATGTTTATACTGTATATTTTATTTGATAATGACAGTCAAAATTTCTAAATACAGAACATGGGCCATAGCTTATGTAAAAGGTGAAATAATGTATCTGGATTTCTGCTGATAAAACTTTCCAATAACTGTTGGAAAATAACATTGAATACAGACTCTTGCAGGAAGACTTAAAGTGCAAATCTGTAGGCTTTCTCAAATTTAGCAGGTTAAATCTGGAGTTAGTACTCCCTTGTGATACCTTAGCATTTTAGCATGTTAAAGATAAAGCACATTTAATGATCACAGGAGAGAATGCAATTACAAATACAAGCTCATTTGCACTCCCTTCCTATTCTCTGGTTTAGCTAGAAAACTGGAGTAAACATCTGTGTATATAGTGCAATTTGAACTGTAAGAGAAAATGATACTTCTAGATTAAATAATTCCAGCCTCAACTAGCTAGCCAGAAGCAGCATGAATGCAGCGTTTCAAGTAATACTTGAAAATACATGGAATACTTCTATTTTGCTTGTACTGGGTCATCTGAATAAAATCTGAACATGTCCAATTCATTCAGAATATAATCCAATTTAGCTTTATACCTAATTGAAAATATGTTTCCTCTGAATTGTCTTACTAATTAGCAAACCAGGATTTTGTTGCTATGTAACTGTTTTCTGTTTGAAATATTTACATAAGCTAACATAATTGAAGTAATTATACTAAAACCTTTATTAATTAAACCGTTAAATCTCTATCAATCTTAACTCACTTTTGACACTAAAAAAAAACCAAAGGCATAGATTTGGTATTTTGGCAAATTATCATATTTTGTCTTCCCTTTTGTAATTATCAGAGCCAAGAAATTAAAATAATTTTTTTAACCCATAACAAAGTCACAGGAGAATTCCAGACAGATTCCTCTTGAGTTCTGCTGGAGTTTCCCTGACACTTGCCCAAGAAAATGTAAAGATTAAAACCTGAATTTGGAACACTGAGCCTCAAAGAGCTGACCTATTACAGCTGTTTAGATGACAAATGCAAAATATTTTAGAAGTGAAAACCAGTGGTAGCAGAGAAGAGGAGGGGTCAAGGTGGAGAAATCAGATGTCCAAAATACGAAGTGTTTCCAATAATTCAATTTTTATAAAAAATAGAAACATTGACTGTGCTAAACTAGCCAAAATACTTTGGAGGCATTTTATTTATACTGTGTGAATTTAAGCTAGAAAAATAATTTTAAGTAATAACTCAAACTAGTGGTGTCATAGACCTAACCTCAGTGAAATCCAAGGAGCTATCTTGTGAGCAATTTGAAAAGAAATATTTCATCATATCTTATCAAATAGGATATTTAAAATTCTGAGCTAGTTTATGTTAATCCCATGCTTCAATTAATACATTATTTGATTATGTTTACTTAATAAAAACTATGAAAGATTAGAACTCTTAACTTACAAATAATAATATAGTGTTCTTTAAATAAACAATTCCCTGGCACTGCTTTCTTCAGGTAATGCAAGTAACTGCTTTGAGTCATAGACAGTCATAGATACCTTTTCTAGGTTTAATTATGAAGGGAAAAGACTTTCAAATATAGTTAAAGGGAAAAATAATTAATGCAAAAATTACAGTTTAAAATGTAATCCTCACCCCTCAGATTACAAAGGATAACATTAAATGATCCACAGCTAATAATCACTCTCAACACATATAAATATTCTTCACAACTTCTCAATGTATACCCAAGGACTAAGGAGTTCATAAATGTTATATTAGGAAGCTCTTATTTTATGATGCAAACCACGACTGTGACCCAAAGCAAGAACATACAATACTTTCCTGTTGGATATTCAGTCACTTTCATTCCCTTTGATGCTCTTTCCTCACTTTCAGGGAAGGAGCAGAGGGAGTTCAGGTTTGTGGCCTGCTCCCCTGTTGTCCTTCATTCTACAGGCACTGAAAATGAGATGAAATCTCAACTGCTCACTAGTGCACACACACGCAATCCACTGGCTTTCATCAGTAACTTTTCTTCTTTATGAAAGTTTCTATCAGAGAGCAGTGCACCTTATTATACAGTCCATCCAGCTCCACTCACCATGGTCTGGTGTGAAATGAGGAATTGCAGAAAATTCCACAAAAGATTTCTTCATCTGTAAGATCCTCAGATGAGTTCTTTTTCTTTTACAGTGTTGAGGAGTAGCTGAACTGAATGAGTCTCCATAGGCATGCAAGAATTGGTAGATCATAAAGGTTTCTATGGCCCTGATAACCTCCTTAGTTATTTTACTCCACCAACAGAACTGTTAGGGGGTGGAGTCATCATCTCCATGATCAAAGTAGGTGGTCCTAAATATTTGCCATTAGATGAAAGTTTCCAACAACAGTGAGGAAGAGTAGCTCTTATTAATTGTATTTATTTTTGTTTTTTGTTCATTTTTTTTCCTTTTTATAAGGTATAGTTGAAATTTTTCTAAAGGTATCAAAGATAAGATAAAAATTCAAGATATCACTATTTTATACTTGCATCAACTTCTTTTGTACCTCATATAAATGTAAGCTTTTAAAAAAAAGTAAAAGGAGGAAATAAAAACACAGCAACAATAATGCATAAATCCAAATAACCTTGCTGAGTCATATAATCTGTTTTTTTACTCTAAAAAGGAATAACTATGAATATATTACAAAAAGTGTTAAATCTTACAAGGAAACATCTACCTGTATTAGAATTGAAAAGGAAAATATGTGCCTCAGTATTAAGAATTTGAAGTTCAGAAAGATTTGTAGAATAACCATAAGAAGTGCATCTCTAGTCTAGGATTGCTCTCACAACTTCTAATGTTCTTGCTTGTAAACATATTGTAATTATTTAAAACATAGATATTATACATGTATTGACTTAAAAATATTTATTTATTTAATACCTTCTATGTATTAGGCCTTCTCCTATGCAAGGAGGATACAAATGTAAAACATACAGAGCAGGAGATAGAAAATAAATGAATAAATGAATATACCATAGAAAGATGAGGTAAGTACAATGACATAAACAATAAATTAAGGTAAATATTAGACAGTGATGAGGGATGCTAATTAACACCCCTTTCTGAGGGGGACAACTGAACAAAGACCAGAAAAACTGAGAGTGTAAGCCACACAGGTGTCTCTGGGAAGAAGCTATCAGGGAAAGAGGACATCAAGATGCAGTTCCTGAGGCAGGTGTTGCCTTGGTATGTTCAAAGAAATACAAAGTGGTCAGTATACCTGAAGTAGACGGATCAAGGGAGAAAGTGAGAAAGACAGATAATGGGTAATATCTGATCTTAGAGGTCATGGCTAGGACTTCAGGTCTTACAGTGTGTATGATGAGAATATATTGTAGACCTGCTAGAATGCCAACATCAGGTATATAATTTAATGGGGGTAACTTCTAGCTTGTAGATACACTATAGTTAGGCAAGAGTGAAAGCAAAAGAACAGCTTGAAGGATATTGTGCTAACATAGCACAATCAAGACAGAATGATGGCTTAATCTGGACTGACAGTGTTGGCATTGATAAGGAGACAATTATTTTTTAAAATACTTCAACTTTATTTTATTGAGGTAAAATTGACAAAACACACAAAAAAATTGTTTTGAAGTGAACAGTTTAGTGGCATTTATATGACAGCATATTCACAATGTTGTCAACCCATCACCTCCATCAAAAGGAAATTCTTTATCCATTAGACTGTTGCTCTCAATTCTCCCCTCCATGTAAACACTGGCAACTACCAATATGTATTCTGTCTCTATGGATTTGCCTATTCTGGATAATTCATGCAATAGAATAATATATGATAGATGACTTTTATGTCTGAGTACTTTCACTTAGCATATTGAAGTTCACCCATGTGGCAGCTATATCAGTACTTCACTCCTTTTAATGACTAAATAATATTCCATCATATGGAAATACCACAGTGAGATTGTCTGGCCATCAGTTGACTAAAATTTGGGCTTTTTTCAACTTTTGGTTATTATGAATGGTGCTAGTATGAACATACATGTAAGTGTATTTGAGTATCTGTTTTCAATTATTTTACATATATATCTAGGATTTGGCTATCTAGGCCATATGGTAATTCTATGAGGAGCTGACAAACTGTTTCTCTTAGCAGTGGAACCATTTTATATTGCCATTGCCAATGTACAAGGTTTCCAATTTTCTATGTCTTTGTCAACAATTCTTATTTCCTGGGTGGCTTTTTCATTTGGTTTGCTTTTGTGTTTTTTTATTATCATCACCTGGTAGGTGTGCAGTGATACTCACTATGGGTTTTTATCTACATTTTCCCCTAATGAATAATAACATTGAGCATCATTTCATGTGCTTATTGTTTATTTGTATATCTTCATGACAAAAATCTGTTAAAGACCTTGTTTTATTTTTTAATTTACTTTTTGCATTTTGGTTGTTGAGTTGTAAGATATTTTCTGGACATTCAATTCTGATCATATATATAATTTGCAACTATGTTCTCCCATTATATAAGTTTCTTTTTACTTTCTTTATAATATCCTTTAATGAACAAAATTTTTGATTTTGATGAATCCAACTTATCTGATTTTTTTGCTATTCATCCTTTTGGTGTCAAATCTAAGAATACATGGCCAAATCCACTGTCATAAAGATTTACCCTTATGTTTTTTTTTCTAAGAGTCTTATGGTTTTAGTTATTATGTTTAGATTGTTAATTCATTTTGAGTTTTTTGATATGGTTTAAGATAGATGCCCTAATTTATTATTTTTTTTTTGCATGTGGATACCTTGTTGTCTAGTACAATTTGTTGAAAAGACAATTCTTTGCCCATTGAATAATCTTGGCACTCATGCTGAAAATCATTTAGCCATAAATGTCTTGCTTGTTCTCTATCATTTAGCCATAAATGTCTTGTTTGTTAATCTTTGTCTTGTTGTTGATCTTAAAATTAATGGGTGCAGCACACCAACATGGCGCATGTATATATATGTAACAAACCTCCACGTTGTGCACATGTACCCTAAAACTTAAAGTATAATAAAAAAAATGAAAGCTTTCTGTCTTTCACCATCGAGTATGATGTTAACTATAGGTTTCTTGAGGAATACCCTTTATTGTGTCGAGGAATTTTTTCTCTATTCTTAGTTTCCTGGAAATTTTTATCATGAAAGAGGTTTTTCCAAATACCTTCTTTGCATCAATTGAGATTATCACATATTTTTTTCTTCATTGTGTTAATGGCATGCATTGCACTGATTATCTTATATTGCACTACCCTTTCATTCTTGGAATATATCCCAGTTAGGCATGATGCATAACCCTTTTAATATACTGCTGAATTTATTCTGTTGAGAATTTTGACATCTATATGCATTGCAGATATTGGTATATAGATTTATTTTTGTGTGCGTTGTCTTTGTCTGGCTTTGATATTAGGGTAATGATGGCCTTGCAAAATGAATTGGAAAGTGTTCCATTCTCTTCTGTTTTCTAAGACCTTGAGAAGAATGGGTGTTACTTCCCTTCTTGAATATCTGGTAAATTTCATCAATGAAAACATTTGATTATGAATTTTTCTTGATGAAAAGTATTCTTGTTGAGAAATATTCAGTATTTTTTTCTGTCTTCTCAAAGCTGCCATTGAAATCCTCTAATAAGTTTTTCATGTCCCTCTTGAATATTTCAGCTTTAGAATTTCTATTTGATTTCATTATCTATTAGTATATCATGTACTATAATTATTTCTTTATTGATACTCTCTAGTTGTTTATACATTATTTTTCTGTTTTTCTATAGGTCTTTGAACATATTTAAGACACTTGATTTAAAGTCATTGTTTAGTGAGTCCAAAGTCTATATTTCTTCAGAAACAGTATTTTAAATTTTTTCTATAAATGAGCCGTATTTCTTGTTTCATCCTTTGTAATTAAGTAAAATCAACATTTTAAATATGATAGTGTGGTAATTTGGAAATTAGGGTCTTCCCCTCCTCAGGAGTTGTTTGATTGCTTGCTATAAGCTAGTGTTCTTTATTTCCTTGAATTTCAGAAGCCAGATAAAGAGGTGGGGGGGAAAGAAGAAAGGAGAAAGGAAAATAAAAGAAAGAGAGAAAAAACAAAAAAGAAGAAAATGAAAAAATAAATAAATAAAACCTCTCCCACTTTTTGCTGATGGCTCCCTGCTGACATACCTTCCACACTTAGGTCATTTATAACTCTGCCTTACCTTTTATTTTCTGCTTCTAGTGTGCCTAGAGATTAGAAACAGGTAAAAGTTTAGGGTTTTTGAAGACTGTTACAGAACATACATCCTGCCCTGGGCCTGACTGTGGCACTGTATATTCTTCATTATACATGGTTAGTTTAAATGCTCTAATTTCCTCCAAGCAACTCTTTTTTCAGCTTTTTCTCCACAGATTTTTTGCTTTATTCTATATCTCAATTTTAATCTTTTTCCATGGTAGCTGTGGGTTGTTTGCCTTATAGTGTTTTGGACAAATACCCACTGCTTATCTATCCCGAATGAATTACACGTTAGGCGAGACTAGGACAAGCACCTTGTGTCAGTTATTCAGGTAGGTCTAGAAGGGCTAAAACCAACTAATACAATTATTTAAGAGTAAAGGTGGAAGTCCTAGCAAAATAATCAGGCAAGAGAAAGAAATAAAAGGCATCCAAATAGGAAAAGAAGAAGTCAAACTATCTCTCTTTGCTAACAATACAATTCTATATCTAGAAAGCACTAAACACTTTGCCAATAGGCTCCTAGAGACTGATAAACAACTTTAGTAAAGTTTCAGGATACAAAATCAATTATTAGTAGCATTTCTGTGCACCAACAATGATTATGCTGAGTGCCAAATCAAGAATGCAATTCCATTCACAATAGCCACAAAAAAGAAAGATAAAATACCTAGGAATACCTCTAACCAAGGAGGTAAAATATCTCTGCAAGGAGAACAACAACAACAAAAAGAACACTGTTAAAAGAAATCATAAATGACACAAACAAATTTTAAATAAAACATTCCATGCTCATGTACTGGAAGAATCAACATATTAACAAATTAAACAAAAAGACATCAAATGAAACGTCTAGAAATAAATTCAACCAAGGAGGTAAAATATCTCTACAATGAAAACTATAAACCATTCATGAAAGAAATTGAAGATGATGCAAACTTAAAGAAAGATATCTTGTATTAATAGTTTGGAAGAATATTGTTAAAATGTCTATACTATCC
This sequence comes from Homo sapiens, assembly GCF_000001405.40. NCBI lineage: Eukaryota > Metazoa > Chordata > Mammalia > Primates > Hominidae > Homo > Homo sapiens. Next base: position 10,425 of record NW_009646204.1, on the reverse strand, counting down.
AAAGTCTATCACAATGCTGGTAACATTCTTCATGGAAATAGAAAAAAAAAATCTAAAATTTGCATGGAATCACAAAAGAGCCTGAATAGCCAAAGCAATCTTGAACAAAATAAGAAAGCCAGAGGCATCAGACTACCTTACTTCAAAACATGGAATAAATCTATAGAAGCCAAGCTGCATGGTACTGACAAAAATATAATAATAAGAAATTTAAAAACAGATGAAAGGAGCAATGGAAAAGAATAGAAACCCCAGAAACAAATCTACACATCTACAGTTAGTTGATTTTCCACAAAGATGACAAGTACGTACAATTAGGAAGAAACTGTGTCTTTAATAAATGGTACTAAGGAAGCTGGATATTTATAAATTTTTGATGTAAGTTTTTTGTAAGATATGTGACTTGCAAATACCTTCTCCCCCAGTCTGTGGGTTGTGTTAGCATTCTCTTTACAGAGATTTTTTAGGGGGTTTTTTTGCTATTTTAAATTTATTTTTTCTTTAATTTTTAATTTTTTAAATTATTAATATTTTTAAAATCCAGTAAAGTAAAAATTATAGATATTTTTGTTTTGGTGTTTCATTTAATTAATCTGTCTAAATTTGTGTCATGTCTTCATATTTTTGAGATACATACAGAATTATTTATGAGTAAGATAACTTTTTAGAAGTTTTTATTTGGAATAATTAAGCAGAAGGAAATTTGTTGGGAAGGGTTCAGCCAAAAGTGGATAAATGTCAAAATTAATCGAAGGGTATATTTGAAATTATGAAGCTATTTTCTCTATAATTTTATGTTTGCTGTGTTTCAGAAATTAAGAAATGATGGTTTGTTATATACATTTACAATTTGATCATTGCACAATGATCTTTCCAGGAGTGTGTGCAAATGACTCTATCCACATATATTTTTTACTTTATGTATGTAAAATCCTCTTCATTGTTTTTAAATTTTATTTTCCAACCAATAGGTTTTATACTACTTTAATACCTCCAGTTGAATTGCCATATTTTCTCTGAAAGCACCTTAGAAGAAAAAAAAAAAAGAGAGAAGTGTTAAGAATTATTGTAGAGCCAGCCTTAGTCATAAGTAAGGATTTAGCAAATATTTCACTTGTTCGTCTCTATCCATTTATTTTAGGCTCCTTCCCATCAGTTCATAATAATTCCATTGTAACTAAACACTCTGACCTCTCTGATAGTATTTGCATTTTTTTCAAACAAAACTTATTTTCAAATACTTGATTTCTGTTAAATAGATAAATACTAATAGGCAATGTAACCACATAGTTACATTGTTATTTTATGAGCAACTATAATCTTAAAATAATGTAAACATTCAGTATATTTATTTACATTATATATTTATAAGAACTGAAGTAGTCAGCTCTTATAATATTCAGATTTTTTGCTATTACTTGTTATTTTTCCCCTAAAAGTGATGTTTCAAAGAGAGGGAAGCTGTTGGGCTTTTCGTAAGTATTTTGCTAGCCGTATTTCAACTATTGTTTGCGTAATTATCAAAATAATCCTATGACTTTTGCTATTATTGTACTCATTCTGCAGATGGCAAAACTCATACAAACATAGACAAAGAAGGTCAAAAAAAAAACCTTAGTTGGAATTTTAACATGAGTCTTTATCACATTTTTTTGTAAAATCAGAATGATCTTAAAATATAAATATCATAAAGTAAAATCTGAGATGATTGTTTTCTACCAAATTTCTTCATATCATGGTTAAAGTGTGAACTAAAATATCTGACTTTTAACAACACTTTTTTTTTAACCACACAGGTCATAACTTCAGATATACAGACACTAAGTTCTAGTAATTTCAAAAATTTAGCAACAGAATTGGGTATGTACGGTTGTTCTTTATAATTTCTATGGAGTTTCAGTTACTCTTTATTTTTAAAATAATTCATAAAGAAATCAACAATCTTAAAAAAATTTGTTCATTCTTGGATTCATTTCAATTTTATAGTTTTATTCTGGTGAGGTAGAACTACATTTTTCTGCCATTTTTCAACAATCACTAAAAATGAATCCACGTATAAAGAACTTTAACCTCTTTGGTTTTATATTATTTGAATATAATTCCCAAATAATTAGGGCTCTTTTCTTCCAAATGGTAATATATGAAATGCCATTAAAGAATGATATCCTTGAAAAAGCAAGAATTTAATTATGATTAATCCTCTTGTTTTTATATTCATTAATATACTAGTTGCTTTTTATAACTCTTGGTTTTTATATCTGTGACTAAGTGATTTTTATTCCACATATATACAATGAAAACCATCAATTGGGAGACATCTGCTGACAGTTACTAAGTGTCAGACCTGTGAGGGCAATAGTACGTACACTCAAAGAGGTTAATCTCTAGCGTAGAACAAAAATCAGTAAACACCTGTGTACTCCAGTACATGGGGAGTACCCAGTATGCCAATGTGACAAATAGCATCATGAAAGACACAGTGAAAGCACAGAAAAAGACATCATTTTTATAGAAGAAATAAATTATTAATATCAGATTTAAGTAGGACTCTTAGCTGATCTTGAAATAATGAATGCCTGGATTTAGAAATATGCTACTATAATCATTAAACATATTAAATAATTTAAAAGGAAGTACACTAGTTTATACTTTTTTCTAGACTACTGTATTTCAGCTTCATATGATTCTTGAGGTTTTAAATTCTTTGCAAACATGAGCAATAGAAAAAGATGTATCATTAATATTTCTTTTACAACTATAGAATTATAGTTAGCTAGAGTTTATGTTTCCAAAGGCCAATTCAGAGCCTGGTTTTATTTCTAACCCCCTGATCCCTTATTTCCGTGCCCCGACCTCTTATCTCTGTGCCCCGATCCCTTATTTCCGCACCCTGACCTCTTATCTCTGCACCCCAATCCCTTATTTCCGTGCCCCGACCTCTTATCTCTGTGCCCCAACCCCTTATTTCCACACCCCGACCTGTTTCCCTCTTTTCTGGAGGGTAAGAACCCCTGAACCCCTTCCCTCCGTGTCTCTGCCCTTCTCTTTAAACTTGCCTCCTTCACTATGGGCAACCTTCCACCCTCCATTCCCCCTTCTTCTCCCTTAGCCTGTGTTCTTAAAAACCTAAAAACCTCTTTAACTCACGCCTGACCTAAAACCTAAATGCCTTATTTTCTTCTGCAATGCCACTTGACCCCAATACAAACTCGACAGTGGTTCCAAATAGCCAGAAAATGGCACTTTCAATTTTTCCATCCTACAAGATCTAAATAATTCTTGTCATAAAATGGGCAAAAGGTCTGAGATGCCTGATATCCAGGCATTCTTTCACACATGGGTCCCTCCCTAGTCTCTGTTCCCAATGCAACTCGTCCCAAATCTTCCTTCTTTCCCTCCTGCCTGTCCCCTCAGTCCCAACCCCAAGCATCGCTGAGTCTTTCTAATCTTCCTTTTCTACAGACCCATCTGATCTCTCCCTTCCTCGCCAGGCTGAGCTAGGTCCCAATTCTTCCTCAGCCTCTGCTCCTCCACCTTATAATCCTTTTATCAACTCCCTTCCTCACACCCAGTCCAGCTTACAGTTTTGTTCCATGACTAGCCCTCCCCCACCTGCCCAGCAATTTACTCTTAAAAAGATGGCTGGAGCTAAAGGCACAGTCAAAGTTAATGCTCCTTTTTCTTTATCCCAAATCAGATAGCGTTTAGGCTCTTTTTCATCAAATATAAAAACCCAGCCCAGTTCATGGCTCATTTGTCAGCAACCCTGAGAAGCTTTACAGCCCTAGACCCTAAAAGGTCAAAAGGCCGTCTTATTGTCAATATACATTTTATTACCCAATCTGCTCCCGACATTATGTAAAACTCCAAAAATTAAATTCCGGCCCTCAAAGCCCACAACAGGACTTAATTAACCTCACCTTCAAGGTATACAATAATAGAGGCAGCCAAGTAGCAACATATTTCTGAGTTGCAATTCCTTGCCTCCACTGTGAGACAAACCCCAGCCACATCTCTAACACACAAGAACTTCCAAACGCCGAAACCGCAGTGGCCAGGCATTCCTCCAGGCCCGCCTCCCCCAGGAGCTTGCTACAAGTGCCAGAAATCTGGCCACCACCAGGCCAAGGAATGCCTGCAGCCCAGGATTCCTCCTAAGCCACGTCCCATCTGTGTGGGACCCCACTGAAAATCGGACTGTTCAACTCACCTGGCAGCCACTCCCAGAGCCCCTGGAACTCTGGCCCAAGGCTCTCTAACTGACTCCTTTCCAGATCTTCTCAGCTTAGTGGCTGAAGACTGATGCTGCCCGATCACCTCGGAAGCCCCCTAGACCATCACGGACGCCGAGCTCCAGGTAACTCTCACAGTGGAGGGTAAGTCCGTCCCCTTCTTAATCAATACGGAGACTACCCACTCCACATTACCTTCTTTTCAAGGGCCTGTTTCCCTTGCCTCCATAACTGTTGCAGGTATTGACGGCCAGGCTTCTAAACTTCTTAAAACTCCCCAATTCTGGTGCCAACTTAGACAATACTATTTTAAGCACTCCTTTTAGTTATCCCCACCTGCCCAGTTCCCTTATTAGGCTGAGACACTTGAACTAAATTATCTGCTCCCCTGACTATTCCTGGGCTACAGCTACATCTCATTGCCATCTTTTTGCCCAGTTCAAAGCCTCCTTCACATCCTCCCCTTGTATCTCCCCACCTTAACCCACAAGTATAGGACACCTCTACTCCCTCCTCAGTGAACGATCATGCACCCCTTACCATCCCATTAAAACCTAATCACCCTCACCCTGTTCAATGCCAATATTCCATCCCACAGCACGCTTTAAAAGGATTAAAGTCTGTTATTACTTACCTGTTACAGCATGGCCTTTTAAAGCCTATAAACTCTCCTTAACAATTCCCCCATTTTACCTGTCCTAAAACCAGACAAGACTTACAGGTTAGTTCAGGATCTGCACCTTATCAACCAAATTGTTATGCCTATCCACCCTGTGCTGCCAAACCCATATATTCTCCTATCCTCAATACCTCCCTCTACAACCCATTATTCTGTTCTGGATCTCAAACATGCTTTCTTTACTATTCCTTTGCTATTTCTTTACTATTTCTTTACTATTTCTTTACTATTCTTTACTATTCCTTTACTATTTCTTTACTATTCCTTTGCACCCTTCATCCCAGCCTCTCTTCGCTTTCGCTTGGACTGACCCTGACAGCCATTAGGCTCAGCAAATTACCTGGGCTGTACTGCCACAAGTCTTCACAGACAGCCCCCATTACGTCAGTCAAGCCCAAATTTCATCCTCATCTGTTACCTATCTCAGCATAATTCTCATAAAAACACATGTGCTCTCTCTGCCGATCATATCCGACTGATCTCTCAAACCCCAGCACCTTCTACAAAACAATTTGTTTCCTTCCTAGGCATGGTTAGTGCAGTCAGAAGTCTTACACAAGAGCCAGGACCACACCCTGTAGCCTTTTTATCCAAAAAACTTGACCTTACTGTTTGGCCTAGCCCTCAAGTCTGTGTGCAGCGGCCGCCGCTGCCCTAATACTTTTAGAGACCCTTAAAATCACGAACTATGCTCAGCTCACTCTCTACAGTTCTCATAACTTGCAAAATCTATTTTCTTCCTCACATCTGACACACATACTTTCTGCTCCCGGCTCCTTCAGCTGTACTCACTCTTTGTTGAGTCTCCCACAATTGCCATTGTTCCTGGCCTGGACTTCAATCCCACCTCCCACATTATTCCTGATACCACACCTGACTCCCATGACTGTATCTCTCTGATCCACCTGACATTCACCTCATTTCCCCATATTTCCTTCTTTCCTGTTCCTCACCCTGATCACACTTGGTTTATTGGTGGCAGTTCCACCAGGCCTAATTGCCACACACCAGCAAAGGCAGGCTATGCTATACACTAGCCCGCCTCTTAGAACCTCTCATTTCCTTCCCATCGTGGAAATCTATCCTCAAGGAAGTAACTTCTCAGTGTTCCATCTGCTGTTCTACTACTCCTCAGGGATTATCCAGGCTCCCTCCCTTCCCTACACATCAAGCTCGAGGATTTGCCCCCACCCAGGACTGGCAAATTGACTTTACTCCTGTGCCCCCAGTCAGAAAACTAAAATACCTCTTAGTCTAGGTAGACACTTTCACTGGATAGGTAGAGGCCTTTCCTACAGGGTCTGAGAAGGCCACCACAGTCATTTCTTCCCTTCTGTCAGATATAATTCCTCAGTTTAGCCTTCCCACCTCTACACAGTCCAATAGCAGACCGGCCTTTATTAGTCAAATCAGCCAAGCATTTTTTCAGGCTCTTGGTATTCAGTGAAACCTTTATATACCTTACAGTCCTCAGTCTTCAGGAAAGGTAGAACAGACTAATGGTCTTTTAAAAACACACCTCACCAAGCTCAGCCACCAACTTAAAAAGGACTGGACAATACTTTTTACCATTTTCCCTTCTCAGAATTCAGGCCTGTCCTTGGAATGCTACAGGGTACAACCCATTTGAGTTCCTGTATGGATGCTCCTTTTTATTAAGCCCCAGTCTCACCAGACCAACTTGGACTGTACCCCAAAAAATTTGTCATCCCTACTATTTTCTGTCTAGTCATACTCCTATTCACCGTTCTCAACTACTCGTGCATGCTCTGCTCTTGTGTATACTGCCGGTTTACAGTGTTTCTCCAAGCCTTCACAGCTGATATCTCCTGGTGCTATCCCCAAACCGCCACTCTTAACTCTTAAAGTAAATAAATAATCTTTGCTGGCAGGACTATGCTGAATCTCCTTAGGCACCCTCTAATTAGATGTCCTGGGTCCTCCCAATTCTTAGGCCTTTAATACCTGTTTTTCTCCTTCTCTTATTCCATTTAGTTTTTCAATTCATACAAGACTGTATCCAGGCCATCACCAATAATTCTATATGACAAGTGTTTCTTCTAACAGTCCTACAGTATCACCCCTTACCACAAAATCTTCCTTCAGCCTAATCTCTCCCACTCTAGGTTCCCACGCCACCCCTAATCCTGCCCAAAGCAGCCCTGAGAAACATCACCCATTATCTCTCCATACCACCCCCCAAAAAATTTTCACCATCCCAACACTTTACCACTATTTTGTTTTAATTTTCTTATTAATATAAGAAGACAGGAATGTCAGAACTCTGAGCCCAAGCTAAGCCATCATATCCCCTGTGACTTGCACCTACACATCCAGATGGCCAGTTCCTGCCTTAACTGATGACATTCCACCACAAAAGTAGTTAAAATGGCCGGTCCTTGCCTTAAGTGATGACATTACCTTGTGAAAGTCCTTTTCCTGGCTCAAAAAGCTCAAAAAGCACCTTGTGGTCCCCAGTCCTGCCCACCAGAGAACAAATCCCCTTTGACTGTAATTTTCCTTTATCTACCCAAATCCTATAAAATGGCCCCACCCTTATCTCCCTTCACTGACTCTCTTTTCGGACTCAGCCTGCCTGCACCCAGGTGATTAAAAGCTTTATTGCTCACACAAAGCCTGTTTGGTGGTCTCTTCACATGGATGCACATGAAAGAGGGGGCTTTCAAAGTGTTCATGGATCTTTAACTTTAATGGAATATACTTCCCTTATAAAAATTTGCTGCAAATGCGAAGTAATTAATTATCAAAATGTGGTCTGAAACCACTCAGTGGTAGCATCATTTTCTCACATCCACACAAGTTTGCAGTTTAATGTGTTTTTTATTTATACATTAAAGAAAATGCTTCTGAGAAAGATTTAAAATAAATTCCATGGCTTTTAGAAAATTAATACAATTCATACTGTTTGATTACATCTTTTAAGCCTAATATTATACACAAACATTTAAGTTATTGTATTTATTTTTTTAGTGCCTGCATAGTACTCCACATTACAGATATACCAGAGGGTATTTAAATAATAAATATCTTTGGGCATTTTAGTTAATTCTAACTAAATATTAAGATAGTTTCTGGCCCAGCACGATGGCTCACGCCTGTAATCCCAGCACTTTGGGAGGCCAAGGCAGGCAGATCATGAGGTCAGGAGATCGAGACCATCCTGGCTAACATGGTGAAACCCTGTCTCCAATAAAAATACAAAAAAATTAGCCGGGTGTGGTGGCGGGCACCTGTAGTCCCAGCTACTCAGGAGGCTGAGGCAGGAGAATGGCGTGAACCCGGGAGGCAGAGCTTTCAGTGAGCAGAGATGGTGCCACTGCACTCTAGTCTGGGCAACAGAGTGAGAATCTGTCTCAAAAAAAAAAGAAAAAGATAGATAGTTCCTTATTCTTGTATAACACTGTGAATAATGTATTTTATATAAATATTTGTGCATTTGTCTGATTGATCCTTTAAGATAATGAAGAATTTGTAAGTCAAACACTCCACCCACTTATAAAGCTTTTCAAAAATATTGGCAAAGAGTAGTTGGAGCAAGATGGCTAATTAGAGCCCCCCAGAGAACATTCCCTGCACAGGAACATCAAACTGAACAACTATCCACACAAAGATGCACCTTTATAATAACCAAAATCAGGTGAGCAATCACAGTATCTGGTTTTAACATTATATCAAGGAAAAAGACACTGAATAGGGTAGGAAAGATCATCTTAAATTGTGTACAACACCTCTCCCCCCACCTCTGGCAGGGCAGCGTGGTGCGGAGAAAGTACCCCTATGCTTGGGAGAGAGAGAGAGCCCAGTGACTGTGGAACTTTACATTGGAACTCAGTGCTTCCCTGTCACAGTGGAAAGCAACACAGGGAAGATTCAGCTGGGGCCCATTGAGGGAACATTTAAACTGGCCTTAGCGAGGGGAATCATCCATCCCAGCAGTCAAAAACTAAGTTCCAGCTAACCTCACCACCATAGCCTAAAGTGCCCTGGAGTCCTATTTAGTTTATTTAAACCTCAAAATAGGACCCCAGGGCACTTTAAGCCAGACGGCTGCAACTACTGGGCAAGACTTGGTGCTGTGCTGGGCTCCAAGCCAGTAGACTTGTGGTGCACACAACCCAGTGAGATACTAGCTGGAGTGGCCAAGGGAGCAGTGCTTGTATCATCCTTCCTCCAACTCCAGGCAGTACATCTGGCAGCTATGGGAAAAGAAGGAAGAGTAAAGAAGACTTGCTGCTGCAACTTGGATACCAGCTCAGCCACAATAAGATAAAGCACCAAGCAGAGACCTGAAGCTCCTATTCTGGGCCATTGTTCCTGTGACACATTTCTAGACTCACCCTGGGCCAGAGAGAACCTACTGCCCTGAAGGGAAGGACCCATTTCTGGCAGAATTCACCACATGCTGACCAAAAATCCCTTGGGCCTTGAATAAACTAGTGGTAGCCAGGCAGTCGTAACCATGGGCCTTGGGCAAGACCCAGTACCATGCTAGCTTCAGGTATGATACAGCACATTCCCAGCTGTGATGGTTACAGGGAAAAATTCCTTCTCCTTGAGGAAAGGAGGAGAAGCAAAAGGGACTTTTTCTGGCAACTTAGGTACCAGCTTAGCCACAATAAAATATAACATCAAACAGATTCCCAAGGTCTCTGGCTCCAGGGTTCTATGGGGAATTTCTAGATCTTTCCTGGTCCAGAAGGACCTACTTACCTGAACAGAGACTCAGGCCTGGCAGGATTCACAGCTTGCTGACTAAAGAGCCCTTGGGCCTTGAATAAACATCAGCAATATCTAGGAAATAGTCATCACATGCCTTGTGTGAGTATCGTGCTGGCTTCAGGTGTGACCCAGTGTCCCAGCAGTGGTGGTCATGGGAGTGTTTATGTCACTCTCCCTCCAAGTCCTGGCAGCTCAGCATGGAAAGAGAATTTGTTTGGGGAAATGTAAGGGAAGAGAACAAGAGACTCCTGGTAATCCAGGGAATTCTCCCAGCTCTTATGCAAGAACACCAAAGTCATACTGCTACAAGTCTGCAAGAGTCAAAGCATTACTGGGCTTGGGGTGTCCCCAATGCATACAGAGCTGTAGTGACCAAATACTTAGATCACACCACTCAATTCCCTTTGACTACTTGTAAATGCTTCCCAAGAAAGACAGGTGCAAACAAGCCCAGACTGAGAAGACTACGATACATATCTAAGTCTTCAATGACCAGACATTGATGAACATCCATAAGCATCAATACCATCCAGGAAAACATAACCTCACTAAATGAACTAAAAAAACCACCAGTGACTAATTCCAGATTTGCAGAGATATGTGACCTTTCAGATAGAGAATTAAAATAGCTGTTTTGAGGAAGCTCAATCAAATTGTAGATAACACAGAGAAGGAATTCAGAATCCTATAAGAGAAATTGAAGGAAGAGATTAAATCAATTAAAAAGAATGAAGCAGAGACACTAGAGCTGAAAAATGCAATGACATAATAGAG